>NC_000010.11:11676666-11828181 GCF_000001405.40 Homo sapiens
AATAAAATATTTCAAGTTAGCTATGCTGCATTGGAAGTGCTTACCGCATATCCAGGTAAGACGTCCACTGGGTAGTTAAGATCTATGGGTCTGGAACCCAGGAGAGAAATTGGGGTTGGAAATGCAGACTTGGGAGTCAAAATCATAATGATGTTCTCAGTCTTTTGGATTTCAAATTTTAGTAAAATTATCAAAAGAAAAAAAGCAATTTGCACGAGTAACTTTTTTGTTTGTGAATTACCACCATCTACTTTCACAAAGAACCAGACACTGTAATTCCCAAAAGGTATAAAAGGCATCATCTTAGAATAAAAGGTCCTCCTTCAAAGAGAGTAAATTTAGCCTTATGGAAAACTTCCTCCATCATCCCCATTTTTCTCATTTTGCTGCAAACCTGTAAAACTTGTATCCCACAGACAGTTTGGATTGCATTTGGCCACCATGGGTTTGAGACATGGCGGGAACAAAAGTGTGAGTTCTTTTGTTTGTTTTTTAGAGACAGAATCTCACTCTGTTGCCTAGACTGGAGTGCAGTGGCACAGTCATGGCTCACTGCAGCCTCAAACCCCTGGGCTCAAGGGATCTTTCTGCCTCTGCCTCCCAGATAGCTGGGGCCAGAGGTGTGCACCACCACACCTGGCTATTTTTTTTAATTTTTGTAGAGACGAGGTCTCACTATGTTGCCCAGGCTGGTCTTGAACTCCTGCCTCAAGCAATCCTCCTGCCTTGGCCTCCCAAAGTGCTGGTATTACAGGCCTGAGCCACAAAGCCTGGCCAACCGTGAGGTCTGATGAGACACCTTGTAAGAGCATTTAGAGCTCACAGGGAAGATGGGGAACATAAAAGAAAATGGAACCATCTAGCAGAGGAGATGAGCGTAGAGGCAGAAGCAGTGGGGGAAATCAATGAAGAATAAAAAAATAGGAACGAGAAGGGTCCTTCCCCCTTTTCTATCACACTCAGATAGAAACTAGCACTCACATCCCTGCGTGAACCGGGGAGGCGGAGGCTGCAGGGAGCAGAGATCGCACCACCCCACTCCAGCCTGGCGACAGAGCGAGACTCTGGTAGAGACGGGATTTTGATCAGGGTGGCAAAGATGAAGCCACAAACTAAGAAGAGTCAGGGCCAGGCGCAGTGGCTCACGCCTGTAATCCCAACACTTTGGGAGGTCGAGACAGGAGGATCACTTGAGGCCAGGAGTTTGACACCAGCCTGGCCAACATGGTGAAACCCTGTTTCTACTAAAAATACAAAAATTAACCAGGTGTGGTGGCGCGTGCCTGTAATCCCAGCTACTCAAGAGGCTGAGACAGGAGAATTGCTTGAACCCAGGAAGCGGGATTGCAGGGAGCTGAGATTGCGCCACTGCACTCCAGCCTGGGCGACAGAGTGAGACTCTGTCTCAAAAAAAAAAAAAAAAAATTAGGGTCGGGAAACCGCAGCCCATGAGCCAGGTCCATCCTGCCTGCTGCCCGGTTTTGTGCAACACATGGGCTTAGAATGTTTTTACATTTTGAAATGGTTAAAAAAAAAGCAAAAGAAGAACACTACTTCATGACATGTGAAAATTATTTGAAATTCAAATTTCAACATCCAGAAATAGTTTCACTGGAGCGCAGTCACCCTCAGCTGTTCACATATTGTCTGTGGCTGCTTTCAGGCTGCAGGACGGAGTTGAGTCAGCGTGAAAGAGATTGTGTGGTCCACAGAGTCTAAAATATTTCCTGGCTGGGCGCCATGGCTCACACCTGTAACCTAAGCACTTTGGGAGACTGAGGAGGGAGGATCGTTTGAGCCCAGGAGTTCAAGACCAGCCTAGGCAACACAGCAAGATTTCATCTCTACAAAAAAAAAATTTTTTTTTTTTTGAGACGAAGTCTTGCCCTGTCGCCAGGACAGAGTGCAATGGCGCGATCTCAGCTCACTGCAACCTCTGCCTCCCGGGTTCAAGCGATTCTCCTGCCTCAGCCTCTTGAGTAGCTGGGACTACAGGCATATGCCCCCACACCCAGCTAATTTTTGTATATTTAGTTGAGGTGGGGTTTTACCATGGTGGCCAGGATGGTCTCGATCTCTTGACCTTGTGACCTTGTGATCCGCCCGCCTGGGCCTCCCAAATTGCTGAGATTACAGGCGTGAGCCACCATGCTTGGCCATTCTTTTTTTTTTTTTTTTTTTTGAGACAGAGTCTTGCTCTGTCACCCAGGCTGGAGTGCAGTGGTGCGATCTCAGCTCACTGCAGCCTCCACCTCCTGGGTTCAAGTGATTCTCCTGCCTCAGCCTCCCAAGTAGCAGGGACTACAGGTGCACGCCATCATGCCCAGCTAATTCTTGTATTTTTTAATAGAGATGGGGTTTTGCCATGTTGGCCAGGCTGGACCAAAAAAAATTTTTTTAATTAGCTGGGCATGGTGGTGCATTCCTGTAATCCCACCTACACAGAGGACTGACGTGAGAGGATGGCTCACGCCCAAAGGTTGAGGCTGCAGTGAGCTACGATTGTGCCACTGCACTCCAGCCTGGGTGACAGAGTGAGACCCTGTCTCAAAATAAAATAAAATAAAATATTTTCTATCTGGCTCCTTTCAGAAAAAGTTTGCCTACCCTTGCACCGGAAGCAGGAGGGAAAGAGATGGGCTTGTTGGAAACCAGGAAAGGAGAAATTGACAGAGCTGCAGGGAGCAATCCCTTTCCACCTTCACCCAGGACTGAGATCATGTCATACAAAAGCCCTGTGTTGTTCAGAGGACCAGAGGGGTAAGACCGACAAACCGCAGTGCATGTTGGCACGTTACTTACAGATGTGCAATTGGACTTTTATTATGGTTGTTGCTCTATTGTATGTTTGTGTGTTTCCTTATTACATTTATCTATCTATCTATGTATTTATTTATTTATTTATTTATTTTGAGACAAAGTCTCGCTCTGTCACCCAGGCTGGAGTGGAGTGAAGTGGTGTGATCTCGGCTTACTGCAACCTCTGCCTCCCAGGTTCAAGCGATTCTCCTGCCTCAGCCTCCTGAGTAGCTGGGATCACAGACGCCTGCCATCATGCCTGGCTAATTTTTGTATTTTTAGTAGAGATGGGGTTTCGCCATGTTGGTCAGGCTGGTCTCGAACTCCTGACCTCAAGTGATCCACCTGCCTCGGCCTCCCAAAGTGCTGGAATTACAGGCATGAACCACTGCACCTGGCCTCTATTACCTTTAAAAGTGCTCCTTGAAGAGAAAATCCACTCTGCCGTTTCAAGCTTGACTTCCCTCCCCAGTCTTAGAGACTGATCACTGGGGCAGAGTGACATTTTCCCACAATGCTGGCTCATTATTTTCCTCCTGGAATTGCAAATCCAAGGGACAAGTGGTACAGCCTGCACCCATCCAGAAGGGGAGGGAATCCCACCAGAGGTGCCCTGAAACAAAGAAAACAAGTAACTTCAAAACCACATCCTAAAATCTGGACCTGTGACAGGACAGATGGAACTCTGGATTGTTTGATTCTATCAGCAGAACAGAGGAAGGAAATGTTTTAAAACGAGATTATGTTATTTTCCCCAGTTATTATGAAGCCTTCCTGAAATGAACTTTAAATATCGGCCACCACTTTCATGAGGCTGAATGGGATTCAGCAATTAGGAGCGTTGCAGGGAAGTGTGGCAGGGCAGAGGTGGGACAAATTGCAGATCCCTGTGGGGTCCCTTGGTTAGGTGACAATTAGTCTATAAAACACAGCTGTGTGTGTTAGGGAGGGAGTGGTGTCTTTAAAAAGCTCTGTGCCCAATAGGAACATTAATTAAAGGGTCTTTTTTCAAAGGACATTAATAATAATGAATAAAAAGCCTTCTGCGACTTTTGCCCTCAATGAGAAAATGACTGACAACTACGTATCGTATAGAGAAGAAAAAATATCCTAGAAGTTATGAAAATTTCCCCAAAATGAAATCATACAATAATCCTTTATAATGCTGGGCTTCCTAGACAGAATTTTCCAAAGGAAGCTGTCTATATCATCCAGCCCCAAGCCCTGCTGAATAATACACGATAGCTGTGTCATTAGTGTCCTCTAGCCAAATAACTGTCCAGGCAGGATGACATGGATGTGGTCGCTTGTCCCCTCTGCGTGGATGTCCTCCCACACATGCCTCTCAATGCCAGGGTTCCTCAAGACCCTCTGAGAGTCAGCTCCTGTATCCAACTGCTTACCTGATATTGCCTCCAAGAAGCCTTAAAACACCTGAAATGTAAAGGTCTTCCCCAGGATCCTCCCGGTCTTCACATCCCTATAAATGGCGTCAACACCCATCCACTCATGAAGCCAGAACTTAGGATTCATCCCCAATTCTTCCCTCTCCCCCGACATCCAATTCATCAGCAGATTCCGGGGCTTCGCTCTCCCAGTGATCTCTCCCATCTGAGGCTTTCCCTCCAGTGGTTTATTGCTTCTATCGTGGTCTAGGTAAGCATCATCTAGACTTGCCCTGGACTAGTGCAAAAGTCTCCTGAGTCTTCTCTCTTCATCTATTCTCGGGGGCCACAGCCAGACCATTCTCTACAGAGTTAAAAAGAGCGACTTCTGAAGGAGTGAACAGACCCGCATCATTGCCCTGCTTAAGATCCTTCAGCGACTTCCCATAGCATTTAGAACACAATGCAAACTTTTCTGTAGCCTTGCAACCCCTGCTTGAATTGGTCTGGCTATTTCTCTAGCTTCTTCTCAACCCCTCTTTCCTCACCTGGTATTCCAGCAGCTTCAGGGTTTCACAGTCTTCAGACACTCTTGTGCCTTCCCACTTCTAAGCCTCTTGTGTTTTCGGTTCCCTGTGCCAGGAAAGTTCACCCACTGCTCCCCAACTTCAGAGACCACCATTTTGGATACATAGCATTGGCCTGACATTCTTTTTCTTTTAACTGTCAGACATTAGGGCTGACCTAACTGTCACTACTGGAGTTCAATATGGCCCCCAAAAGAGCACCCTGCCGCTGTAAGTTCTGAGCCCATTGAGAAATGAGACAAAGAATCTAGGCAGATGGAGACCAAATGCATCAGCTCTATTTCTTATAAAATTGATATTGGAGAATGTGGCATATAATACCTGCAAACAAGTGGTTTCCTAATACCAACCCCAGATTGGATTTACCCACCCAGTCGGAGGCCATGCAGGGTCTGGGCAGACCCCCGATGTAGGGGGGTCTCAGGGCCTTAGTGCAGCCCTCCTGGCACCCCCAGCTTCCTTGTATGATTGTGCATGTTTGTCCCATCAGTCCGTGAACTTCCCAAAGCAGACACCAGGCAGAATAAAGAATACCGGGGAAGGCTGGGCATGGTGGCTCATGCCTAGTAATCCCAGCACTTTGGAAGGCCAAGGCGGGTGGATTGCTTGAGCTCAGGAGTCCGAGACCAGCCTGGGCAATATAGCAAGATCCTGTCTCTAGCAAAAATACAAAAAAAACTAGATGGATGTGGTGATGTGGGCCTGTGGTCCCAGCTACTCGCGAGGCCCGGGGTGGGAGGGTGGCTTGAGCCTAGCATGGAGAGGTTGCAGTGAGCTGTGATCACATCATTGCACTCCAGCCTGGGCGACAGAGCAAGACTCTGTCTCAAAAAAAAAAAAAAAAAAAAAAAAAGAACGGAGGGAAAACATACCGTGGGAACAGGTGTTATGACTTTGAGGCATTTATTACCACATTAGGGGCGACATACATCGCAAATGAAATCCCAGCTAGGGTGGGACTTTAAACAAAATGTGAGCCAGCACAGAGGACACTAGCAGGGCTGCCCCAGCCATGAAAACCCCAGTTCCGGAGAGCTCTGTCTCTTCTGGGCTCAGCTAGAGGGTATAAAGAGGCCAAGGGAAGTTCTTTCCTCCTCGCAAAACAGTCACAGGGCCTTGTGTGATTTTTCTTCTTCTTTCTTTCTTCTTCTTCCTCCTCCCCCTCCCCCTCCTCCTCTCCTCCTCTGCCTCCTCCTCCTTCTCCTCTCCCTCCTCCTCCTCTCCCTCCTCCTCCTCTCCCTCCTCCTCCTTCTCCTCCTTCTCCTTTTCCATCATTCTAGAAACAGAAAAAGCGTCTGCCCATGACTTTGGGGTTAAATGGTTCAATCCATGTCACAATAGCATTGACATCCTGGTGATAGAATGGGCCCTCAGACATTAAATTCAGCTTGTTTTAAAACCAGTGCCGCTGCATTTGAAGTCTCTCTCTTCCAAAGAGATTTAAGCCACCCCCATACGATATATATGTGGTACTAATCATTGTGCAGGCATTTCTGAGAAGTGGTATAATCACTACTTAAATCCGCAATCTGTCTAACTCTGCGCCCTCTCACGCTAGCATTTACATTCTTTGCGAAGGGTGATATTTAAGCCTGAAATACTGCCTAGAACGAGGTAGAAGGCACTTCCATGTAGGACAGGCAGCCCACGGGGGAAGCCTAACCTACCGGATTGAGGACAGCAGGAAACAGAGTTATTAAAACGTACGTCACAGCCAGATGGAACAAGCTCCGTTCCCAGGACAGAGCTCTGTTCCCTTAGCCCCGGCTCTGGCCCCGCTTCCAGGGGATCCCGGAGGCCCTGGGACTAAACAGGGAGGTGTTGCTATTTATTGCTACTGAGAAAGACTCCTTTAGAGCTCGGTGTACACACAGAAACATGTCCACGGACCTAGGTAGGTAAATTTGTACAATAAATCCTTAAAGAATCCCCAGCACCCCACTGTGCTCCACATGCGACTTCTAAATATGCTGCGTCCTTCAGGGGCTTCTTCCTTTCCAAAGGCAGCGGTGTCTATGGCGACCTCCAACTTCAACTGTCAGTCAAGGAAGGGATGTGCCCGGGGGACTTACTTGAACCCACACTATTTGTAGGCAGCACTCACTGCCTCTAAAACCAGATTAAAATGGTGCATTTATTGCATACCCCTCCTCTCTCCTCTCTCTCTCTCTCTTAGACAGATAGACACACACACACACACACGCACACATCCAGTGGCAGGGGTGTGGACTCCCAGCCACCTGCCCAGGCAGAGTCTGGGCTGTACACACAGTAGTTGTTTAATAGGTGTTTGCTGAGTAAATGCATTCGTGGGTGACAATGCACAGAGAAGCAGAAATGACATCCACCTCCGAACAGGAATGTGAACTTCAGTTCCCCTTTAATTGTCAATTTGCTGTGGGAGTGGCCCCTGCCTTTCTCAGTGGGGCCCTGGAAACGTGGAGACGAGAACCTGAATGGTAGAGGATAAACACTGAGGCATGGTGGGCTAGGAAGGTGGGGAAGGTTGGATCCCAGGGCCCCAAATGTCCCCTGGCTCCAGAATGGGGTCCCTGGTAAGCCTTCTTTCATGTTCATCTCTTGCGTGGAAATCCAGAAGCTGCCTCACTTCTAGAACCGTCCGATCAGAGACCCTCTGCTTGGCGCCTCCCAGAATCACACAAGGAAAAGAATCTGCCTTGGGGTATATACCCAGTAATGGGATTGCTGGGTCAAATGGTATTTCCGGTTCTTAGTCTTTGAGGAATCGCCACAGAGACATGCACACATAGGTTCACTGCAGCACTATTCACGATAGCAAAGACATAGAATCAACCCAAATGCCCGTCAATGATAGACTAGATAAAGAAACTGTAGTACATATACACCACGGTATACTATCCAGCCATAAAAAGGAACGAGATCACGTCCTTTGCAGGGACATGGATGAAGCTAGAAGCCATCATCCTCAGCAAACCAACTCAGGAACAGGAAGCCAAACACCGCATGTTCTCTTGTAAGTGGGAGCTGAACAATGAGAACACATGGACACAGGGAGGGGAACATCACACACTGGGGCCTGTTGGGGGAGGGCAAGGACGGGGAGAGCATTAGGGAAAACAGCTAATGCATGGCAGGCTTCATACCTAGGTGATGGGTTGACAGGTGCAGCAAACCACCATGACACACATTTACCTATGTAACAAACCTGCACATCCTGTACGTATTACTTTAAAGAAACACCCCCCTCACACCAAAAAAAAAAAAAAAGAATCTGCCTTTGATATTCCAGGCCTGCCTGATTGCTGGAGAGGCACATCCTTAGTGACCATCGGGACAAGGCTGTGGGGAGGGCTGGGCCCCGAGACCCGGGAGTGGCCCTGCCTGGCCATTTGCTCAAGCAGCATGCAAGCCGGATCTACAGCCGGTGCACCTTGTTCCTTGTTCTTCCGGGCACCGGAGGCCCACGTGAAACCTCTCAGAGGAGAGCGAAGAAGGCCACCTTTCATCTCAATGAGCCAACAGCCTCACATCTTTAAGTCCTGCCTAATCTTACGAGTCATGAGTCATCGCTTCTTCCCCGCCAAGTCATTCAGGATTCAGTGACTCCAGCTGCCCTCAGGATCTGACGGAATCTTGAAGGCAGAGTTCCGAGACTGCAGTCCAGGATAGAGAAGCCCCCGGCTCCATCAGGGGCTCCTCGGCTTCAAGGCAGGACCCACCCCAAAGCTCTCAAAGCGGCAGAGGCCTGTTTTCAGGTCTATTTTTAAAGATCTCTAGGGGAAGTGGTTTCTGAATGCTCTGTAGGATGAGGCTGTGAACAGTGATTGTTTCATTTGCTCGGGGCTGGCAAAAAAGGGATGTACAACCCGTTCTCACCACACCAGTGAGTTAAAAAGCACTGCAGACTATGAATACCTTTTGCCAGTTGGACTGGTTATGGAAACCGATGGCTTCCCCTACAACTGGGGAGGCTGCCAGCCCGGGTTTCTTGGGACAGTCCCTGAATATCTTGGTCTAGCTTCGAATGCACTTGCTTTATGAGTCACCGTTCAATTAAAATAAAAGTGGCCAAGGAAAAAGAATCGAAGGAAAAGACACGAAAACTGTGCAGAGGATCCAAAGCAAGAATGCATTTACGTAACAGGCATGCCTTACTCTAAAATCACCAACACAAAGTCCCAATTTACAATACAGAAATTGCCTAGAATAGAGGCAATTATACTCATGGCAGAATGTGAATGATTTCATTTTACCAAGAAAACAAAGAAAGAAAATTCATCAGAAGTTTCCTTTTAGTGTCTTCTCTAATAAATTTTAAATATTACTAAACTGTCAGAAATCTGATTTACATCTGACTTTTTCCAACCCCCCTGTATGGTATAAAGTAATTCCTTCTTGGATTCTGAAGCTGGCCACCTAAGCTTGGAAAACACCAAATGCTTTTGTAATTCTAGATAATAAGAAGTGCTCGTTTGGCATGAAAGAACATGAACTATAAACACCAGCTCATCAAAGGACTTCAAACGTCTTAAAAAGGAAAGAAAACAATCCAGTCCAGGAGCCAAACATGATAACAAACCCAACTCATAGAAGGCTTCAGTCATTAGGCACGGAGCCAACAGCGGCTGTGCTCCTGGCTTCTTCCTCTTTTGTAGCTCAACAAGTTAGAGAGGCGGGGGTTGGGTTCACCACGTTTACCATTGGGTTGATCTTATTTTTTAAAACAACTTTATGAAGTATGGTTGGCATGTTAAAAAAAAAAAGCTGTATATATTTAATGTCTACATTTCAACGAGTTTGGGGATAAAGTATACAACGGTGAAACCATTACCACCTCAAATCTATAAACACATCCATCACCTCCCAAAGATTCCTCCTGCCCTGTTTATTATTATTTGTGTGTGCACACATCTCTGTTTGTGTTAAAAACACAGCACAAGGCTGGGCACAGTGGGTCATGCCTGTAATCTCAGTGCTTTGGGAGGCCGAGGTGGGAGGATCACCTGAGCTCAGGAGTTCCAGACCTGCCTGGACAACATCCTATCGCTACAAAAAAAATATGAAAATTAGCTGGGCGTGGTGGTGCACACATGTAGTCCCTGCTACTCGGGAGGCTGAGATGGGAGGATCGCTTCAGCCCAAGAGTTTGAGACTGCAGTGAGTTATGATTGCACCACTGTACTCCAGCCTGGGCAACCAAGCAAGACCCTGTCTCCAAAAAAGAAAGAACACGGGGCCAGGTGTGGTGGCTCAGGCCTGTAATCCCAGCACTTTGGAAGGCCGAGGCGGATGGATCACGAGGTCAAGAGATCAAGACCACCCTGGCCAACATGGTGAAACCCCATCTCTACTAAAAATACAAAAATTAGCTGGACGTGGTGGTGGGTGCCTGTAGTCCCAGCTACTGAGGAGGCTGAGGTAGGAGAATCGCTTAAACCCGAGAGGCAAAGGTTGCAGTGAGCCAAGATTGTGCCACTGCACTTCAGCCTGGTGACAGAGGGGGACTCCATCTCAAAAAAAAAAAGCAAAAAAAAAAAAATGCAACATAAGATCTACCCTCTGCACATTTACGTATGCAATACAGGAGGGTTAGCTCTAGGAACTATACTGTATAGTAAATCCCTAGAACTTGTTGATGTTGCATAACTGAAGCTTTGTATCATTTAACCATTGCCCCACCCCCCGGTGACCACCATTTGACACCCTGCTTCTATGCGTTTGACTATTTTAGACTCCACAGAGAAGTGACGTCTTATTTTGATCTAATATTTAAAGTGAGGTTTAGACTTGGCATATGCAGGGGAAGAGGAGCAGAGGGTCCTTGTGGACCCCTGTTTCTAGTCACCCTCTTTCCCACATCTGGCCCAAAGCAGGATGAAAGTCCAGGGCCAAACTGTAAAGCAGATGAAGCGACCCTTAGCTTCCTCAGCCCTCCCTCCCTGGTCACTGTCTCACCCTTTCCTTCTTCCCACAGGTCCTCCCAGTCCTGTGTCCTCCTAGAAACCAGACACTGAGGAGGAATGTGGCCATGCCTCTCTGAGTAGCAGCTGTGTCTTGCTGGTTGACCAAGCCTTCAGGATGTGGAATGCGCTCTAACTGGAATTTCAGATGTCAGAAGGAAGGGAGGCACTGGGCAAAACCTCACCTTTTGATGGGGAAGAAAGATACAGAATGAAGTCACAATGAGGCCCAATGTGAGCCACATGTGAGACCAGGCCCAGAGCAGCGGGTAGATAAGCTGCTCAGGAGAAACCGCTGTTCAAGGCCGTGGATCCGTCTCCTTAAACCCTTTTGATCAACTACTTATCTAGTGGACAAGAGTGACCCCGACCGCTGCCAGCTCTCCGATGTGGCCTCAGTAGTGCTCTAGGTTGGAAGGGGGAGGGCTCTGACTCACAGAAAAGAAGTCTCCCCTTCAAAAACAATCCAGACATAGGGTCAAGGGGAGTATTTGGGGATAGAAAATGGCATCAGAAGGCATCCGACGTGGCCCCGTCTGCAGGTGTTCTGGGCTTGTGCCATGTAAACACACAGGAAGATGTCTCATCACCAGCCTTGCCTGGAGAACCAGTTCCACCTGCCCACTGCCTGCAGCTGCTTGGAGGGCAGGCCAAGGAAAAGCCTCAGTGAGACCCAATTCCTGGGCAGAAATGCCTCCCTGGATAGCCACACCAAGGCCTCTGAAATATTTTATCTTGGGTGGGGAAAGAACGAGAAACAGATGAGCTATAGGAACAATCTTTTCTATTTCCTCCTCTAGCTTGCTCACAAAGTGGTCCCCCAAGTTGCAGACCCCACAACTTAGCACTTAGGGCCTCAGCCATGTTATAGGGTCGGTCCCACCTTCGGGCCAGGGGCCAGCCGTCTGCCCTCAGCCATCCTTGGCTGCAGAATGCCCCTGTGGCAGGGAAGCCTCCCAGCCTCCCAGACAGGTGGGCAGCTGAGTTGTCAGCAGCAATGCTGCCTGTCCAAGGAGATCTGGGGGTCAGCAGTATCTGTTGCAGCGTGACACATCATAGGGCACTGCAAGTGACTTCAGGGTCAGGTTTTCTTCCAGGCAGGTGTCTGCATCTGCCACTAGCACAGGTGTTTCTTTCTTCCTTCCTTTTTCCTTCCCTCCCTCCCTTCCTTCCTTCCTTCCTACCTTCCTTTCAACAGAGTCTCACTCTGTTGCCCAGGCTGAAGTGCAGTGGCGCAATCTCGGCTCACTGCACTCTCCGCCTCCTGGGCTCAAGAGATTCTCCTGCCTCAGCCTTCTGAGTAGCTGGGATTACAGGTGCCTGCCACCACATCTGGCTAATATTTGTATTTTTAGTCAAGACAGTTTTGCCATGTTGGCCAGGCTGGTCTCAAACCCCTGGGCTCAAGTGATCCACCGGCCTTGGCCACTCAAAGTGCTGGGATTACAGGCAGGAGCCACGGCACCGGCCCTTTTTCTCATTATTATGCCTGCAGGTCTGCAGTGGGGTCCCAACCTTCTGTTTCTGTCTTGGAGGGAGGTTGGATTCTCCTTGACATACTTCACTCCTTATCTTGTTGCTTTTGTGCTTACCCTTCTGAACGACAGTTTGGGGACAGGGATTTTGAAGTTAGAGCCACTTTCCTGTACCTAGTAACTTGGCAGGAAGAAATCTCAGAGAGAGATTCAGCTGGAGGCTGGCGTTGCCTTTGCTGGAGAAGCTGCGTCCTGCCTTCTCGGCTGAGACTTTGTGAAACGTCTTGTTCCAGATTTCACTCTACTTAATTAGGGCATTCTTCCTGCCATATGGAGGCCTCAAGTCTTCCAGTCACTGCTTTACATTTTGTGGAACTCTGGAAAAGGGCCAGGATCCTGAGAGCCTGGGGGTATGTCGGAGCTTTTATCCTATGATATTTCCTATCTCCTGAGGCTGCTTCATTTGTTCCAGAGAGTTTGTGAGAAATCTCGGGATTTTATGGATTAACCTTCCTTTATTGGAGTGGGGGTTTAACCTTCCTGTATATAGTCCTGCTTTATCGGAGGCGGGTGATGAAAGCGGAGTCCGGAGCTGCTTTGGGTTATGCCAGAGTCGTGTTTCTTTCTTCGACAACACTTTTCAATTTTTTTTTTTTTTTTTTTTTTTTTTTTTTTTTTTTTTTTTTAGGCAGGATCTCGTTTCGTCACCCAGGCTGGAGTGCAGTGGCACAAACATAGCTCACTGCAGCCTCGACCTCCTGGACTCAAGCCCACGAGTAGCTGGAACTACAGGCATGTGCCACCACACCCAGCTAATATTCTGTAACTTTTATAGACGGGGTTTCGCCATGTTGCCCACGCTGGTCTCAAACTCCTGGGCTCACGGGATCCTCCCACCTTGGCTTCCCAAAGTGCTGGGATTACAGGCGTGAGCCACCGCGCCGGACCGATTTTCAACATTTTTAATGTGGGCTTGTACTTGTTTCCATGTTTGGCCGCTGACAGTGATTTTCTTTGCTGGACATGACCATGTTTTGCTGAATGATTTCGGCTTTGGGGAGAGAGAGAGCTGTGCTCTGGCGTTATTTACTCTTGAGAAAATACAGGCGCATGGATACAGCAGCCAGCGTTGCCTGGTAGAATGTGGGCAGCAGCAGGCTGGGGGGTTGCCTCGTGGTTCTGGAGGAGCGAGCGGCTCAGCCATCCACACAACTCCTTCACCAGCCTTTCCTCACCCGCCTGGAGATAGCCTTGGACTTCGCCCTCAGCCAGAGCCAGAAGATACAGGCCCAGGTTTCAGTGGAATTTACACTGGAGAATAAGAAGTCCCTCTATTTCTTCTAGAAGCCTCCGCCCTGACCGCTAATCTCTCGCCGCACACTCAACCCACAGGAATGACTTCACTGGCCGTCCCCTCGGTGTGACCTTGTAAGGAACCCACATTCCCTGATTTCTCTGCCATTCCCTTCTCCAGGCACTCAGGAGTCTATCTCCTCTCAGAGAGAATCGTTTCCCAAGACAGTAACTCCTGACTTTGGCGTCTAGGGGTAGGAATATGAAAGAGTACCTTTGGGGGCCAGGTGCAGTGGCTCACACTTGTAATCTTAGTGCTTTGGGAGGCCCAGGTGGGATGATTGCTTGGGGTCCGGAATTCAAAACCAGCCTGGGCAACATAGCAAGACCCTTATCTCTACAAAAAATTTAGAAAGTTAGCTGGGTGTGGCGGTGCACACCTGTAGTCCCAGGTACTCAGAAGGCTGAGGTGGGAAGCTAGTCTGAGAGTTTGAGGCTGCCGTGAGTCGTGACTGCACCACTGCACTCCAGCCTGGGCGACAGAGCAAGACCCTGTCTTGCTCTGAGTGGCTGGACACGGTGGCTCACGCCTGTAATCCCAGCACTTTGGGAGGCCGAGGTGGGCAGATCACTTGAGGTCAGGACTTCGAGGCCAACCTGGCCAACATGGTGAAACCCTGTCTCTACTAAAAATACAAAAATTAGCCGGGCAGGGTGGTGGGTGCCTGTAATCCAAGCTACTCGGGAGGCTGAGGCAGAAGAATCATTTGAACCCAGGAAGCGGACGTTGCAGTGAACTGAGATTGTGCCACTGCACTCCAGCCTGGGCAACGGAGCAAGACTCCATCTCAAAAATCAAAAACAAAAACAAAGAGTGAAAGAGTGCCCTCGAGTCCGTGGAAGAGCATGGTGAGGTGTGAGTGCCCCCTGCATGGGCAAAACGCTTTTCAAGCACCCTGACATCCAAAGTGGCTGACTCGGGGACAGGGGTTCCCTTGCCACCTCAACCAGAGAGCTCCCCTCAGGATGGGCACAGGCTGGGGAGAAGCATGGTAGGGTATTTCTTTGGGAGTCAACTGACAACTATGCACAGTCTTTGAAAATCGTTATTTCAAAACTCGGCCCCCTCTACAGTGTGGCATTACTGTGGCAAAACACAGCCTCCTTGTCCTGATTTGGACTTTCCACTTTCCAAGGAAGGCTCTCAGCCTCCTCCTGTGTGTGGCTGGGTAGGCGCCAGCCTTTCTGGGCACCGGGCCTCCGCTTCTAGAGGCTTATCGCGGATTCCCAAATTGGGAATGGGAGCAGAGACAGCCAAGGAAGAATTTGCTGAACAGACCTGGGGCTGTCACACTTTGGGAGCCGGAGGGAAGGCTGGAAAGGAGAGCCGCTATTTGGCAACCCCACTCCCGTCTGCCAGAGATGGAAGGAATTCCTCATCTGACTCGCTGCCGCAGGTGCTCCTGTAACAAGCTGTGGCTCCTCCACCTGCCTCCCTGGGAGCCACCCGGCTCTGCACATGTGGCATGTGTGGGGCTCAGGGCTCAGGGCTCTCAGGGAGGGCGCGTGCGGTGGGGGCTGCAGGAGGGGACACCACTGTATTCCACCGCTCCATCTCTGGCTTAAATTATAACTTTTATTTTAAGCAGCAGAATTTCTGCGTAGGAATAAGGCTTTGTCTGAGAGGTGGTCACAGAAACAGAGATGTACAGAATCTCCACTTTCAGAGGCAGCTGCCAGACACAGACACAGACACAGACATACCCGGGCAGGTCCGGCCCTGTGCAGCCAGTAGGAGATGCTCCTTCTGGCGGGCACATATGGTCGCATCTCACTTTATTTTTATTTTGTATTTCTTTAGAGACAGGGTCTCACTGTCACCCAGGCTGGAGTGCAGTGGCGTGATCTTGGCTCACTGCAACTTCTGCCTCCCTGGTTCAAGGGATTCTCCTGCCTCAGCCTCCCGAGTAGCTGGGATGACAGGCACCTGCCGCCGTGCCTGGCTAATTTTTGTATTTTTAGTAGAGAAGGGGTTTCACCATGTTGGCCAGGCTGGTCTTGAGCTCCTGACCTCAGGTGATCCACCCGCCTCGGCCTCGCAAAGTGCTGGGATTACAGGTGTGAGCCACTGTACCCGGCCAAAACGACAGAAATTTTCTTGCAGTTCTCAAGGCCAGAGGTGTGGAATCAAGATGTGGGCAGGGCCGGCCCCTTCTGGGGTCTCTGAGGAGGCTCCATCCCTTGCCTCTATCCTGGCTTCTGGTGGCCACTGGCAATCTTCCTCATTCCAGTTTCAGCCTCCCTCTTCACCTGGCCTTCTCTGTTTCTCCTCTTCTCTTCTGTGTCTTATATGGACAGTTGTCATTGAGTTTAGGGCCCACTCAGTTCACCCAGAATGTTCTCATCTTGAGATCCTAAATGTAATTACATCTGCAAAGACTCTTGTTCCAAATCAGGGACCATTCACAGGTGCTGGTGGACAGATCTTCTAAGAGGGGGCACCATTCAACCCAGGTGTCCCAGTCTGCTCTGGCTGATGTGACAAAATACCACAGAATGGGAGGCTTAAATAACAGACATTTATCTTTTCACAGTTCTGGAAGCTGAAAGTCCACGATCGAGGTGTTGGCAGATTTGGTTTCTTCTTTGTCTTGCAGGTCGTCACCTTCTCCCTGTGTCCTCACGTGGCCTTTCCTCTGTGGGCTCTGTGGATGTATACCCCTGCTGTCTCTCTGTCTGCCCCAATTTTTTTTCTCTCTCTCTCTCTTTTTAAGAGACAGGTTCTCGTTCTATCACCCGGACTGGAGTACAGTGGCACGATCATGGCTCACTGCAGATTCAATCTCTCCTGGGCACAAGTGATCCTCCCACCTCAGCCTCCTGAATAGCTGGGACTATAGGCTCATGCCACCATGCCCCTGCTAATTTTTTTATTATTTGTAGAGATGGAGTCTTGCCATGTTGCCCAGGCTGGTCTTGAACTTCTGAGCTTAAGTAATCCTCCTGCCTCAGCCTCCCAAAGTGCTGGGACTACAAGTGTGAGCCACCGTACCCAGCAAACATTTCCTCTTCTTACAAGGACACCAGTCACATTGAACAAGGGTCCGGCCTAATGACCTCAGTATAACTTGATTACCTCTGTGAAGACCCTACCTCCAAATAAAGTCACATTCTGAGGTGCTAGGGGGTTAGGACCTCAATCTATGACTTTAGGTGGGACCCAATTCAGGCCATAACAATGAGTGAAGGTTATTTTCAAGCACAGCCTTTGCTAAAGAAGAGAAGAAACACACATTTATCCTCTAGTGATTCATCTCCCACTCTGGGGTTCATTCTCACCTCGAAGGGCCTGGGCGCAAAGTGGTACTCTGTATTGAGGGCTACCATGTGCCGGCCACTGTTCAGCACTTCGCATATATTTGCTGACATCAGTCTTTCCTCTTCTCTTACATGTCACCTCTCTTCAGCGTGTTTGAGAAAGGGCGATAGGGTATCCCACAGCCATTCCCAAGGTCCCTATCTTACCGCTCCTCCTCACACCAGCTGTTCCTCCTGCTCTGCCAGGGCCACTCTTTGCTTTGCTGTTGACCATGATCCAGGGAAACCCTGGGCTGAAGTCCCCTTAGTACCATATGCCTGCTTTTTTAGAAGGCTTTGCAGAGGGGGAGGTGGAAATAGGGCAGACCACACCTGTCTTTGTGGCCCCATCCATGACTCTGCTCTGTAAAATCATCACCTTGTTAAACAAGTTCTGTCTGTTGGGGTAATTTTGATGGCAAGTAAGAGCAAATCGAACTCAAAGTGGCTTCAATAATAAGAGGAATGTATTGGGTGACATAAATGAAAAGCCTGCAGATGGAGTGGGCTTTAGGCAAGGGTTGATCCAGCTGTTCAGCAATGCCACTAGGAACTCATTTTTTTTTTTTTTTTTGAGACGGAGTCTCGCTCTGTCACTCAGGCTGGAGTACAGTGGCGTGATCTCAGCTCACTGCAAGCTCTGCCTCCCGGGTTCATGCCATTCTCCTGCCTCAGCCTCCCAAGTAGCTGGGACTGCAGGCGCCCACCACCACGCCCAGCTAATTTTTTGTATTTTCAGTAGAGACGGGGTTTCACTGTGTTAGCCAGGATGGTCTCGATCTCCTGACCTCGTGATCCGCCCACCTTGGCCTCCCAAAGTGCTGGGATTACAGGCGTGAGCGACCGAGCTCGGCCATCTTTTTTTTTTTCTAATGTGAAAATGTCTTTAATCTTTACATTTAAAAAAGTATTATTTATTGATGAAAAACTATTTTTTCATCAACTATAAGTTTTTGCTCCTTTTGCTTTTTAAAAAAATTTTTAATTGTATGGGTACATTGTAGGTATATATATTTCTGGAGTACATGAGGTGTTTTTTGGTTTGTTTGCTTGTTTGTTTGAGACAGAGTCTCGCACTGTCGCCCAGGCTGGAGTGCAGAGGCGGATCTCCGCTCACTGCAAGCTCCACCTCCCGGGTTGAAGCCATTCTCCCACCTCAGCCTCCCGAGTAGCTGGGATTACAGGAACCCGCCATCATGCCTGGCTAATTTTTGTATTTTTGTAGAGATGGGGTTTTGCCATGTTGGCCAGGCTGGTCTTAAACTCCTGACCTCAGGTGATCAATCTGCTTGGGTCGGCCTCCCAAAGTGCTGGGACTACAGGGGTGAGCCACGGCGCCAGGCCAACATGAGGCGCTTTTGGTAGGAGGATGCAATGTGTAATAATCACATCATGGAGAGTGGGATAGGAACTCACCTTTCTTTCCATCTCTTGTCCCTGTTTTCCTGGTATCGGTTTCCTTCAAAGGCTCTCTTCCCTCTTTGGTTACAAGATGGCCACTAGCGCCTTGTAGATTAAGCTGGAAGAATAGCCTTTTCCCATCTGAGTCAGAAGTCCTCAGCATGCCTCTGATTCTACCATCTTTGGTCACATGTTCATCTCTAAACCAATCAGTGTGGCTGTGGATAGAGTGGGACCACCCTGATTGGCTCAGAAAAACAATGACCCCTTTCTGGAGCTGGAGGGTGGTGGTAGAATCTCGGCCCCACCCGGAACCGCGTGGTTGCTACAAGATTTGGGCCAGAAAGGCAGCTTGACACAGATGTCGGGGAGCTCAGCTTTGTCATCCACAACACAAGTTACTAGATTTCGCTGGGGAGTGGAGCAAACAAAGCCTAATGACAACACGAAAGGAACATTGTATGTTTGTAAAATATGCCTTGTGCAGTGATCCGGGGGAGGGTCTTTAAGGAATACCGTTGTTGTAGCCAGGTGTATGGCCCCCGCCAAGGAAATTCCACGCCCTAATTTCTGGGACTGTCAATATGCTATGGTGCCCCGAACATGTTACTTTAATGGGGCAAAAGGGACTTTGCAGATGTAATCAGTTGAACTTCAAATAGGGAGATTATCCTGGATTATCTGGGTGGGCCCAATATATTATGTTGTTGTGTTATACTGGCCCACCCAGATAAGGCAGAGGCAGAAGAGGAAATCAGAGAAATTCAAAACGCAAGAAGGCTTGCATGTGCCACTGCTAGCTTGAGAATGGCAGAGTCCACACGAGAAGGAACACAGTGCACAGAATTGAATTCTGCCAAGAATTGCCATGAGCCTAGAAGTAGCTTCTCCCCAGAGCCTTCAGATCAAAGCCCAGCACAGTCAACACCTTGATTTCAGCCTGGGAGACCCTCAGCCACCTATCCAGCCCAGCTGTCTGGACTTCTAACCTACAGAATTATAAATGAGTGTTGTTTGAAGCCACTAAACCTGTGGTAATTTGTTACAGAGCAAGAGGAAATGAACATGTCCCCCTGGGCTGCAGTTCTGGCTTGTTGCCTACTGGCAGGGGCCCTTTCTACAAGAGGATCCACTTCTCACAGATTCCAGCGTATGACCTTTCTCCCTCTCTTGGTAAAATCCTCCCTACTCCACCAACGCACAATGGTCTTCTCCTGGGCTCAGCATCCCCCAAGCTAGTATACTTCCCTCAAATGGGAGTTACTCCATTTTTAATAATACCCCAGGCTCCAGCAAGACATTCCAAGCCAGAACAGTCCAGAGTGGCCGCAGTCACACTTGGTCCTGTCCCCTTTGGGATCTTTCCATGAGTATGGGCCCCAACACACTTCGTTATTCTTACAGTTGTCTCCTACGCTCACTCCAGCCAGGCTCTGCCCTCACCTGCTCTGCACGTCATTTAAACTACAGCCTCTTGGTTGCAGAACCAATGGTCAACTCTCAGTCTTCATCTCACTTGGCCTATCCACAGTGTTTCACCCAATAGATCCTTGAAACACTTTCCTTCTTTCTTTTTTTTTGTCACCCAGGCTGTGGCCCAGGCTGGAGTGCAGTGGCATGATCTCGACTTACTGCAACGTCCGCCTCCCAGGTTCAAGCGATTCTCCTGCCTCAGCCTCCCGAGTAGCTGGGACTACAGGCACATGCCACCATGTCCAGGTAATTTTCATATTTTTAGTAGAGACAGGGTTTCACCATACTGGCCAGGGTGGTCTCCAATTCCTGACCTCAAGTGATCTGCCCTCCTTGGCTTCCCAAAGTGCTGGGATTACAGGCATGATCCACCCTGCCCAGCCTGAAACACTTTCTACAATTGACTCCCAGGCTACTACGCTCCCTGCCTTCACCTTTCTCTCTCTACCCCATCCTTCTGTCCTTGCTAATTTCTCTCCTCCCTGTATCTTAGGTCTGTCCCCAGAGCCTAACGCTTGAGAGTCCTTTTATGCCTAGAACACCATCCACACACAGGTCACTCCCCAAAGAACATCTCCAGCCAGCCAGCCTCTACCCAGGGCTCAGTTGCCACTCCAGCCTGTCCTTGTGGATGGTCAACTTGACATCGCAAGCTTACCACGACCAAGACCAGACTCCTCATCTCCCCACCAATGACACCTACTGTACTCCCAGCCTTACTTTTCTCAGTGAATGTACCCTTCATCCTTCTGGTTGTTCAGGTCCAAAACCTCGGCCTTGAACTTGACTCCTCTCCCCACACCCTGCCTCCAAACGCATCAGCAAATTCTGTGTGTGCTGCCCGCAAGACATAGCAGCACCCTTACCATATGCACCACCACCACCACCTCCGGCTTCTTGCCAACATCCTGTTCCAAGCCTCCATAATCTCTCACTTGGATAGTTACAATAGCCTCTTTTTTTTTTTTTTTTTTTTTTTTGAGTCTTACTCTGTCTCCTAGGCTGGAGTGCAGTGGATCGATCTGCAACCTCTGCCCCCCGGGTTCAAGCAATTCTCCTGCCTCAACTTCTTGAGTAGCTGGGATTACAGGTGCCTGTCACCACGGCTGGCTCATTTTTTTTTAATTTTTAGTAGAGTCAGGGCTTTGCCATGTTGGCAAGGCTGGTCTCGAACTCCTGACCTCAAGTGATCACTCACCTTGGCCTCCCAAAGTGTTATGATTACAGGCATGAGTCACCATACCCAGTCCTCCTTTTTAAATTTATTTTTTTATTGCAGTAAAATAAATAACATAAGATTTACAATTTTAGCCATTTTGAAGTATACGGTTCAGTGGCATTAAGTACATTCACAGTGTTGGGCAAACATCACTCCTATTTCTAGTACTTTCTCATCTTTTCAAACAGAAACTCTGTACCCATTAAACATTAACCTCCCATTCTCCCCTCCCCATGCCCTGGTAAGATGCTTCTGCTTTCTGTCTCCATGGATTGGCCTGTTGTGGGTACATACCTCATATAAATGGAATCGTGCAATAGTTGCCCTTTTGCGTCTGGCTAATTTCCCTTAGCAAAATGTGCAACAGCCTCTTGACTGGTCTCCCTGCTTCCTTCCACCTTTTCCCTCCTAAGTTCATTTTCAAGAAAACTGCCAGAGCAATCCTTTGAAAATGCAGGTCAGAACTTCTCACTGCTCTGCCCACATCTGCCAGTGGCTTCTCATCTCCCTCAGAGTAAAATGCAGTCTACAGTATCAGGAACTCATCTTCTGCTCTGCTGCCCCTGCTCCCTTGTTTTATCCGCAGGGCCTCCTTGCATCACTCAAACACACAGGATGCATGCTCACCTCAGGGCCTTTGCATGGGCAGCGCCCTCTGCCTGGGACTCCCTGTCTTCCTCTAGATGGCGACATGACTTAATCTCACCTGCTACCCTCTGCTCAGTTGGCACCTGGGTGACACCTGCCCCCACCCCACTCCTTATTTCCTTTTCCCACTTAATTTTTTTCTAAGCACTCATCATTTGGAAAGTATATGACATGCTACGTCATGTACTTGTTTTGTTTATTGAGGATCTCCTCTTAAATTCTAGTAAGTCCTCCATAAAGACAGGGATTTTGCCTGACATATTCACTGCTGTATCCCAGAGCCCAGAACTGTGCCTGGCACACAGTAGGCACACAATAAGTATTTGTTGGCTGAGTTACTGAATGTATGGGAAGCTGTTGGTATGAACTTAGGATGAACGGTTCTCTAGCCCTAGCTACACGGTGCCATCACCTAGGAAAATTGTTGTTATGTAGAGATGGAGTCTGGATATGTTACCCAGGTTGGTCTCGAACTCCTGGGCTCAACTGATCCTGCCATCTCAGCCTCCCAAAATGCTGGGATTATAGGCATGAGCCTTCATGTCCAGTCAAGGGAATTTTTTTTTTTAACTGACTTCAGGCCAGGCATGGTGGCTCATGCCTGTAATCTCAACATTTTGGAACGCCAAGGCAGGAGGATTGCTTGAGCCAGGGAGGTCAAGGCTTCAGTGAGCTGTGATCATACCACTGCACTGCAGCCTGTGACAGAGTGTGACCCTGTCTCGAAACAAAACAAAACAAAACCCTGACCTCTAGGACAACAATAACAAATAGAATATCTGGTGGTGAGGTCTGAAGATCAGTATCTTTTTCTTTACATTTCCTAGGTTATTTTAATTTGCAGCTTGCATTGAAAATCAGGGTTTTACCCAAACACATCTCTAATGACAAATATTAATTCTCAGAAGTAATATGTGTAAACCCACAATGAGGAAGTGACATTTTCGTAACAGCCCCCATAATTTACAGTATTGCCTTTCACAGTGGAGCAGGCCACACATTCTGTTTCCTCCCCACTCCATGTCAATCAAGCTCCTATACCTGCTATAAATCAAGAACAGGCCTAGTGACTACTGGAATAGATGCAGCCAGACTAGGATATTCTGCTAAAATGTAGAAGTACTTCTTTGTAAGGGTCAGAGTAACTTGAGAGTCAGTGGTCATCTTCCCTCCAGGCCTCTGTCCAAAAGTGGCATTGAGCAGGGAAGTAGTCTTGTTCTTCTAGTTCCTTAATTTAATTTTTAAAACAACTGTACAAGGTAGCCGATCATCTCAATTTGCTGATGGGAAAAAAAGGCTCAGCAAGATAAACTCACCAGGGTCATACACGAATAAATGTCAGGATTGGAGACACTAACTCAGATTGTTGGACTCCAGAGCTCGTTATATTTTAACCACCATGCCCTTGGCCTCTGGGGCACGGGGCAGCAGATGATATGCGGTTGGGTTCCCGGGAGCCCACGCTGAAACTGGAGGGACCACATGGCCTAATCACTCACCTTCTAGAAGTCTTTTGTTTGCAGACCAGTTCAAGCTCTAACCCAGAGAGATCAGCCAGGAAGAGGATCAAAAGCAAGAGGCGTGCCTGGGCGCAGTGGCTCACACCTGTAATCGCAGCACTTTGGGAGGCTGAGGCAGACTGATCACCTGAAGTCAGGAGTTCGAGACCAGCCTGGGCAACATGGAGAGATCCTGTGTCTACTAACAATACAGATATTAGCCGGGCCTGATGGTGGTGCCTGTAACCCCAGCTACTCGGGAGGCTGAGGCAGGAGATTCACTTGAACCCGGGAGGTGGAGGTTGCAGTGAGCCAAGATTGTGCCACTGAACTCCAGCGCCTGGGTGACAGAGTGAGACTGTGTCTCAAAAAAAAAAAAACAAAAAAAAAAGCAAAAGGCTGTTATGGATTGAACTATGTCTCCCCAAAATTCATACGTTAGAGTCCTAAACCCCAGTACATCAGAATGTGGCTGTATTTGGAGCCAGGGCCTTCACAGAGGGGAGAAAGTTAAAATGGGGCAGTTAGGGTGGGCCCTAATCCAGTCTGACTGGTGTCCTGGTAAGAAGACAAGATTTGGACACACAGAGACACCAGGGGCACACACAGAGGAAAGAGCACGTGAGGACGCAGTGAGGTGGTGACTATCTTCTTCCACTTATTAAACTCACAGGCCACAAGATGAAATAACACGTTATGAAGAAAACAGGGAGTGTTGGCTTCAGATCTTATCTCCGCATGTATTTTCTGGGATAACATTGACTGGGTCACTAAATATTTTGGAAGAGATATAGGAAGAGGCAATGGCTGATGACCGAATATGAGGATGGTGCAAAGGTTATCTGTCCCCAGAGGAGCTTTGCACACAGGCACAGGTGGCCTGTCTAAGGATGATCCTTGTGCAGTGCCATTCATGGTAGCAGAGTTTGGAGTAACCTATGTGTCCGTCAGTAGGGGAATGGGTAAATAAAATGTAGTATGGGCACGCAACGGAATACTATGTAGGTGACAAAAGGAATGAACTAGAATGATCTATAGCAACATGTTTGAAGGCAAAAACCTAATAGCAGCCAGGCGCGGTGGCTCATGCCTATAATCCCAGCCCTTTGGGAGAGAATGTGGGCAGATGACATGAGGTCAGGAGTTCAAGACCAGCCTGGCCAGTATGGTGAAACCCCATCTCTACTAAAAACACAAAAATTAGCCGGGTGTGGTGGCACATGCCTGTAATCCCAGCTACTTGGGAGGCTGAGGCAGCAGAATCACTTTAACCCGGGAGGCGGAGGTTGCAGTGAACTGAGATAGTGCCACTGCATTCCAGCCTGGGTGACAAAGCGAGACTCCGTCTCAAACAAACACCTAATAGCAATGAATATAAAACTAAAATAAGATTTGTTATAGCATAATGCTTTTTTTTTTTTTTTGAGACAAGGTCTTGCTCTCTTGCCCAAGCTAGAGTACAGTGGCACAATCACGGCTCACTGCAGTCTCAACCTCCTGGGCTCAAGTGATCCTCCCACCTCAGCCTCTCAAGTAGCCGGGACCACAGGTGCATGCTATCACGCCCAGCTAGCACAATATCTTCTAAAAAATCTTTTGAAAGCATTCACAAAACAACAAACACTATATATTTACATACGTTAGAGGACAAGTATGGACATGGATTCAAAGCACAATGGGCGATTTTGAGAAGAAAGGGAATGGAATTGAGGATGAGGCATAAAGGGGAAATGAAATATAATAAAACTATAGCTAATGATAAAGGCTAACGCAGACAGTTAACTCTGTGCTGGGCACTTCTCTGGGTTGCGTTCATCAAAAAGTCATGTCATTTTCACTGTGAGGTAGGTAGTATTATTTCCCTGTTTTACAAAGAAGAGAACTAAGGCACAGAGAAGTTGAGTGACTTACAAAAGGCAGCACAGCTAGGAGCTGAGGGTGCTGAACTCTCAGAGCCAGGCAGTCTGGTTCCAGACTCTGCCCTGGGAACCATTACACCATCCTGGGGAGAGAGAAAAAAAAAAAAAAGCATTGATTCAGCAACACATCCATTTTCTACTCTGGAGATGGAGTGGGCAGGTTTCTTTAAAGCAAGAAGGCAGACATCAGGGTAATGCAACTCGAATCTAGGTTTCCACAGCATGCCTGACAGATCCCACTTGCCCACACGGTGACTGCGGAATTCAAAGGCAAGGCTGTCTCTTCATCCTCAGAACAGTCAGACAGCCTCTGATCCCTTTAGGATCGAGTCTCTCCTTGTTCCTCCTTGGTGCACTGAGGTTGCAAGAGTGCATTAAACCTGGGTTTGCCATCTGATGGGAGTGGAGGATAATAATAGTAATTAATATCTATCCCCCACGCTTTCCTTGTTTTTAAGATAGAGTCTCGCTCTGTCGCCCAGGCTGGAGTGCAGTGGTGCGATCTCGGCTCACTGCAACCTCCACCTCCTGGGTTCAAGCGATTCTCCTGCCTCAGCCTCCCGAGTAGCTGGGATTACATGGGCATGCCACCACGCCTGGCTAATTTTTGTATTTTTAGTAGAGATTGTATTTTCACCACGTTGGCCAGGCTAGTCTCCAACTCCTGACCCCAAGTGATCTGCCCGCCTTGGCCTCCCAAAGTGCTGGGAGCCAGTGAGTGGCTTGAGCCACCACTCACCCTATCCCTTCTTAGTACCTGGCACTATGTCACACACCTTTGACAAACATCATTTCATTCAGTCCTTATGGCAGCCCTCTGAGACAGACAAGGAAGTCCCATATTGCAAAGGCAAAAAAGCTCAGCCCTGCAGAGGCCAAGTGATCCATCCAAAGTTAATCAGCCATGAAATGGCAGAGCCAGGCCTCAGACTCCAAAAGCTGACCTGTCCTGCTGCCTGCCTGCCACCCACCGAGCCAGTGACCGACAAGCAGGTTGGCCAGGAGGGTCCCCTGGAGGCCTGCAGATGCCACCAGGATCCCTGCAGGGAAATCTGAGCAGGGACTAAGGAAAAGCTAGGCACAAGAGGACGTCTTTTCTTTGCAGCAGGAGAGTGTAAGCACAACGTTCGTGTTATAGGCCCTTCCACAGGCCATGCGGTGATTTGCAGCATCAAATGGGGGGTTTGGGGGGAACTGCCTTAGAGCAGTTAGGGTGGGTTGTTCCATCACACTTATCCCAGGGTGCTTTTAAAAATCAGAGTCCTGGCCTCCACCCCAGACCTATTAAATCAGAATCTGTGGGAGGGCCACTGGTACCTCTAGTTTTTGTTTTGTTTTGTTTTTCTGAGACAGGGTTCTGCTCTGTTGCCCAGGCTAGAGTGTAGTGGCATCATCTCAGCTCACTGCAGCCTCAGCCTCCACCTCCCGGCTTCAAGTGATTCTCATGCCTCAGTCTCCCGAGTAGCTGGGACTACAGGCGTGTGCCACCACACCCGGCTAATTTTTGTACTTTCAGTAGAGACAGGGTTTCGCCATGTTGCCCAGGCTGGTCTCGAACTCCTGACCTCAAGTGATCTGCCTGCTTCAGCCTCCCAAAGTGTTGGGATTACACACGTAAGCCAACACACCGGGCCTTGTTTGGTTTTTGAGACACAGTCTCTCTCTGTTGCCCACGCTGGAGTTCAGTGGTGCCATCTCGGCTCACTGCAGCCTCAACCTCCTGGGCTCAAGCAATCCTCCCATCCCTCAGCCGCTCGAGTAGCTGGGTCCATGGCTGTGCACCACAACACCTGGCTGATTTTTGTATTTTTTGTAGAGATGGGTCTCGCTATGTTGCCCAGGCTGAACTCAAACTCTTGGGCTCAAGTGATTTCCCCACCTTGGTCTCCAAAGTGCTGGGATTAGAGGCGTGAGCCACTGCACTCGGCCTTGTATCTCTATTTTTGGCAAGCCCCCATGTAAGCCATTGGAACACTGAAGTTTTAAGGTTTTTTTTCTTTTTAAGACGTAGTCTCACCCTGCCGCCCAGCCTGGAGTGCAGTGGTGTGATCTTGGCTCACTGCAACCTCCACCTTCCAGGTTCAAGCAATTCTCTGCCTCATCCTCCCGAGTAGCTGGGATTACATGCACATGCCACAACACCCAGCTAATTTTTGTGTTTTTAGTAGAGACGGGGTTTCACCATCTTGGCCAAGCCGGTCTTGAACTCCTCACCTCATGATCCACCTGCCTCAGCCTCCCAAAGTGCTGTGATTACAGGCGTGAGCCACCGCACCCAGCCAAAGTTGTAAGTCTTACTGGCTGTTACGGATTGAATTGTGTCTTCTCCTCCCCCTAAATCCATATGATGAAGTGCTAACCTCCAGTCCCTCAGAACCTGCGGTTATTTGGGGATAGGGTCTGTAAAGAGATAATCAAGTTAAAATGAGGTCATTAGAGTGGCTTGGATCCAACATGACTGGTGTCCTTATGAAAAAGGGAACATTTGGACACAAAGACACGCACAGAAGGAAGACCATGAGAAGAGACAAAGGGAGAAGACGGCCATTTACAAGCCGAGGAGAGAGGCCTAGAACGGGTCCTCTCCTCCCCGCGCTGCTGACCCCTTGACCTTGGACTTCTGGCCTCCAGAACTGAGAGACAATAAATTTCCATTGTTGAAGCCACTCGGCTTGTGGTATTTTGCTTTACAGCAGCCTGAGCTAAGATACTGGCTCTGCAGAGAGAAGGATCTCGGTGGTCTGTCTGTCTCACTACCATGGGGCTGCAGGGCCAGGGCACCCAGAATCTTCTGAGCTGCAAAGCCCAGATAGGAATTAGGATCCACTTTCCAGCAAACACGGGAAGAAGCAGCTCACACAAAGTTCTTCGAGTGAAGTAATCTGAGAACAGCAGAAAAACCAGCCGGGTTGACACAGTGTCTGTTTTCTGGGGCGGAGAGGAACAAATGGGACAAAAAGGTCTGGCCTGAGGAGCCAAAAAAAAAGTGGGAGAGAGAGAGAAAGATTAAAAGTCAGAAAAAAAGGAGAAAAGATTAAAAGGCAAAAAAAAAAAAGCAGGGGGAGAACCTGGGATCCCGGGAGATGATAGTTTTCATTCATCATTTGTTCGTAACTTACTGGCTGGCTCTAGTGGGTCTTCTTTTCTCTACTTGCAGGAGTTTCAAAAACAAGACCCTTTGTTGGTATCCTGAGTGAGCGTGTTACTTTATAAAATCAGTGCGCCTCTGAAGGGTTCCTGTATTCCAGCACGTGTCCTCTTGGTTCTCCAAGATTCCAGGCTGCTGTCCCCGCTCTGTGCCCCTAGAACGGGGCAGGGGTTGCAGGAAAGTGATGCCAGCCACTTAATGAGCCGCCTTCTGGCCTCTCCAGTGACCTCAAGAGCCCTTTGTCCCCTCCACAGAGGCCTTGAGGCTCCAGGCCCTGGAAGTCCTGCCTTTGAAAGGAGAGAGCAACTGCAGTGTGGGGTGCTGTCTCCAGGTTTCCCGCCGGGCTCAGGGCAGGAGCCCCGAGTCCCCTGCCCTTAGTACATAACCCTTAGTCAATGGCAGCTGGTGAGTAACTGTGTATTGATGGGCGGACCCCGTGAATACATGGCTTCTAACTGGGTCACCTAAGGCTTTAGAATGGCAGCCACACTGCATTTTTCTACCCCACCCTCCACGAGCTGTGTTATTTCCCTTCCAGACTAAAAATTCCCCTGTTTACAATTAGATCTACTTCCCTCTCTCCCTACCCTAAGAAATGGAAGAGCATTCGCATGAAATCCTAGCCTGCCGCAGCTGGAGGGATTCTTAGCTATCTTACTGTTGTCTATCTACCCCTAATTTTATTGATAAGAAAAACAAGGCTCAAAAAATGCAGCTCCATTGTCACCCAGACAATCAGTGACACTCTCAAGTCCCTGCAGAGGTTTTTCTATGACACCAAAGCCAAATTCTAGTCCCCCAACAGTCTGGAGACTTGGAAGGGGTATGAGGAAAGGGTTTCTTGGTTAGATTAATTTTCAAAACAGAGCAGAGACTCCAAGCACTTTCCTTTTCTGGGCCTTTGCATGCACTGTCCCCCTGCCTGAAATCCTCCAAACCCATGCCTCTTTCACTTAGGAAACATCGTTCTCTTCTTCAGATCTGAACTTGAACATCATTTCCCCAGAAAAGCCATTTCTGATTCCCCAGACTTGAGCAGGACCTAATGATGAATGTTCCCTCAACACCCGCTTTCTCTTTTGGAGCACGTGTAATTGCATCATTAGTGGGTACTTAGTCATTTAATGTCCATCTGCTGCTAACTTATAAACTCCAGGCAGGAGCCATGTCTTTCCCATGCTTCTGTTCCCAGCACCCCAAGAGTACCATGCATACAGCCGGCAGTCCATCAATGCATGCTGATTTGATGGCTGAACTTGCATATTAAGGACTGAAAGAAGTTCTGCAAGAGGGCTGTGCTGGTGGCCTACGCCTGTGATCCTGGTGCTTTGGGAAGCTGAGACAGGAGGATGGCTTGAGGCCAGGAGTTCAACACTGCAGTAAGCCATGATTGCACCACTGCAAGACCCTGTCTCAAAAAAAAAATGCAATAAAAAACCTATGTAACTTTGCTTTAATTTCACATATCCCAGACTTACACTTCCCAGACTTACTAATACACTTTTTTGTATTAGTCTGTTCTCATGCTACTAATAAAGACATACCTGAGACTGGGTAATTCATAAAGGAAAGAGGTTTAATGGACTCACAGTTCCACGTTGCTGGGGAGGCCTCATAATCATGGTGGAAGGCAGAGAAGCAGAGGCACATCTTACATGGCAGCAGGCAAGAGAGCATGTGCAGGAGAACTCCCCTTTATAAAACCGGGTGCCAGGCACAGTGGCTCACACCTGTAATCCTAGCACTTTGGGAGGCCAAGGAGGGCAGATCACAAGGTCAAGAGATCGAGACCATCCTGGCCAACATGATGAAACTCCACCTTTACCAAAAATACAAAAATTAGCTGGGTGTGGTGACGTGCGCCTGTAGTCCCAGCTACTTGGGAGGCTGAGGCAGGAGAATCATTTGAACCCAGGAGGTGGAGGTTGCAGTGAGCCGAGATTGTGCCCCTGCACTCCAGCCTGGCAACAGAGCAAGACTCCGTCTCAAAAAAAAAAGAAAAGAAAAACCATCAGATCTCATGAGACTTACTATCAGGAGAACAGCACAGGAAAAACCCACCCCCATGATTCAATTACCTCCCACCAGGCCCCTCCCACAACACATAGGAATTATGGGAGCTACGATTTGAGATTTGGGTGGGGACACAGCCAAATCATATCACTTTTCCTGAGAAACAATGACAGTCTGAGGAGCTAGATCTATTCATATAACAAGGACACGCTTTGGAAAATGCTGTGCTGGACGAGTTGCAGACTGCCAAAAAATAAACAAAAGCAAAACACAAACACTGCTGGCGCTCCCTGTCCCTCATCCCAGAGAGCACTGCACGTGGCTTCTGCACCAGAGTTGGAAACAAATTCGAACCACAGTTCCCATGGCCACCCGAGAAAAGAAAGTGCAGGGCCTTCCTTCCCTGATCTGGATTCTCAGATCACTTAGATCTGCAGAATTTTAGGACTCAACAATCAGGTGGTCACAGAAACAGAGATGTGCAGAATCTCCAATTTCAGAGGCAGCTGCCAGACATGGACATACCAGGGCAGGTCCGGCCCTGTGCGGCCAGTAGGAGGTGCTCCTCCTGATGTGTGCATATGGTCACAACTCATTTTATTTGTTCATTTATTTTTATTTTTTATTTTTTTACAGACAGGATCTAGCCTTACTCTGTCACCCAGGCTGAAATTCAGTGGTGTGATCATAGCTCACTGCAGCCTCAAATTCCTGGGTTCAAGCCGTCCTCCTGCCTCAGCCTCCCTGGGTTCCTGCAGCTCTTCCAAAGAGGGCAGACAGTGAAATTACCATTGATCATGAATTCCTTAAGGCCAGGGCAGGGTCAGGCTCTCAATCAGCATGGAGGAGGAAGGGAGATATTTGAAGTAATCATGAGAGTTTGAGGAAACCAAGGGCCCACAAAGAGACAGTATCGGGGCACCAGACAGTGCCTGAATGATTCGCTTATGCATGGGAGATGAAACAAAGCCAAGGAGTAGGGCTCAGGGTGGGACCAGCCTGCAGCAACATGAAACTGGGAGGAACAAGGCAGAGCAGGGAGGAGAGCCAGAAGGAATACCCATCTCCGGCATCGCCTAGGAAACCAGAACCTGCTGGAGGGCCAGGGGGACCTGGGAAGCACCAGCTGCTTCTTGGCTGGCAGGCGGTTTGTCTGTCCAATATCTTTGCTGGCTCCAGCTGCAGCACCTGGACCAGGGGCAGAGCCTGAAGGAAGCTCATCGAAGACAGCCGTCCAAGAAGTGGAAAGTGGACCAAGGGTGAACACCCCGCACACGGGGAGGGGGCGGAGGAAGACGGCTGGCTGGCTCTGTAAATAAAGGAGCCATCTGTGACCTTTGGAAGCAGAAGACTTGCTGCTGCTGAGCGTGGAAACAGGAAGGACATTGAGGAAGGGCAGAGAGGTGACAAGCATGGCCAATGCCATTCGCTCCGGCTGCAAAGGAAGAAGAGAAAAGGGCAGACGGCAGAGGGACAGCGGGTTCAAGTTCAGATTGTTTTCATATTAGGGAGATGCTCAAGGTTCTCCAGACAAATTGTATGGACCCACCAGGTTTCTTGCAGGTCCTGCTGTATGACCCAAATGTGAGGTGGGATGGAGGAGTCTCACACAATGACCTTACAGTTGATGAGTAACCATTCATAATAATAGCAAAACAATACTTCAGTCATATTTTAAATTGGTGGTTGCCTACAATTGTTATCTCAGTGAAGAGAAAAATTAATGCTAGGAATTGATAACACAGACAGACCTAGGGCCTACCTGGGTATTTCATTCCATTCATTCAACAAATATTTCTTTTTTTCATTTTTTTTTTTAGACAGAGTCTCACTCTGTCATCCAGCTGGAGTGCAGTGGCGCAATCTCGGCTCACGGCAACCTCTGCCTCCCAGGTTCAAGCAATTCTAGTGCTTCAGCCTCCCAAGTAGCTGGGACTACAGGCACCTGCCACCATGCCTGGCTAATTTGTGTATTTTATTTTATTTATTTTATTTTATTTTTTTAGTAGAGATGGGGTTTCACCATGTTGGCCAAGCTGGTCTCTAACTCCTGACCTCAAGTGATCCACCCGCCTCAGCCTCCCAAAGTGCTAGGATTACAGGTGTGAGCCACTGCGTCCAGCCGCATTCACTCAACAAATATTTCCTGTTGAAATATTTTCTAGGAACTATTCTAAGCACTAGGGATACAGCAGTAAACAAATATAGACCAACACTGGTGCCCCCGTGGAGTTTACCTTCCAGTGGATTCCAGCAGGAAACAGCTGTACGTGCCCAGTAGGTATGATGAAAGGATTATCTGCCAAGGTGCGAGTGAGGGGGACCTAGAGAAGGGGTACAGTGGTAACCACTGCCTGGACCACAAGGGAGAAGGCAGGGACTGCTTAGGGACCCCTGGAAGAGGCTCAGAGGAGTGGTGGCCTCCAGCTAAGGGACCCAGCTCACCCAGGGATATCCCCTGCTAGGTGGGAAGCCAGCTGGAGGAATAAGCCCACTGACCTCACACTCCTTGGCCTCACCCGGAAGCCAGGAGGCCAGAGAACCTGTTGCTCGTTTCAGAGATCCTGGTGGAGAAGGCAGAGAGGGGTCTGCGGGGGCAGACACAAGCTGTCTGGCACACGGTACTTTCAATCCATCCTCCATACAGCTTAAATTCTGGGGCCCCTGCAAGTTTAGGAAGTGTGGGGAAGAGAGAGGAGGATGGCTGCATATGGAAGGGAGATGGGAGCTGGGGAGAACAGTCTCACAGACTAGCTCTTTTCTCTCCTACAAACATGATCTTGCAGAAACCCTTGTACCCCAGCCAGAGTTCTCTCCTGACCCACGTTCATAGAAAGAACTCTAGACTAGAAGTCGCAGCATCTGGATTTTAGTCATTTTTTTTTTCAGCTCACTAGCTGTGCTCTTTACTTTTATTGATTGATTGAATCAGGGTCTTGCTATATTGCCCAGGCTGGTCTCAAACTCCTGGGCTCAAGTGATGCTCCCACCTTGGCCTCCCAAAGTGCTGAGATTATAGGTGCGAGCCTCCGTGCCCGACCTGCTCACTGTATTCTTTTGCTTGGGCCGCCATTGCAAATTCTCACACACTGGGAGGCTTAAAACAACCGAAATGTATGGTCTCATGGTTCTAGAGGGCAGAAGTCTGAAATCAAGGCATCGGCAGGGCCACTCTCCCTTCCCGGGCTCCAGGGGAGGATGTTTCCTGGCGCTTCCAGCTTCAGGTGGACTGTGCTAGTCCTTGGCTTATGGTAGCATAACTTACCTGTATAACCACATGCTCTCCTTCCCTGAAACTTTTTCAATGTATCTCAAATCTCCCCCTCCCTTCTGGGTTTTTTTTTTGTTTTTTTTTTTTTGAGATGGAGTTTCGCTCTTTTTTGCCCAGGCTGGAGTGCAATGGCGCGATCTCAGCTCACTGAAACCTCTGCCTGCAGGGTACAAGCAATTCTCCTGCCTCAGCCTCCCGAGTAGCTGGGATTACAGGCGTGCACCACCACACCCAGCTAATTCTGAATTTTTAGTAGAGACAGGGTTTCTCCATGTTGGTCAGGCTGATCTCAAACTCCTGACCTCAGATGATCTGCCCGCCTCAGCCTCCCAAAGTGCTGGGATTACAGGTGTGAGCCACTGTGCCTGGCTTCCCTTTCCCTTCTCTTATGAGGACATCAGTCATACAATTTAGAGTTCACCCCAAATTCAGGAAGATCTCATCTCGAGATCCAGAACTTAATTACATCTGCAAAGACCTATTTCCACATAAGGACACGTTTACGGTACCAGGACTTGGGACTTAGGCCTGTCTTTGGAGGTGGGGACCAACCTTCAAAGCTAGTGTCAATCCATGACGCTAGCTATGGACAATTGCTTATTCCTTTTGAGTCTCAATTTTCTCACCTGTAAAATGCGAAATCTAACTTGAAAGGGCTGCTGTGGAGGTTTAAAAACATTAGGATCGCATGGTACCATGGGGATGAACCTTAGACATCATGCTGTGAAAGAAGCTAGTCACAAAAAAACAAGAACTGTATGATTTCCCTTATCTAAGGTTCCCAGAGTAGTCAAATTCACAGAAACAGAAAGGAGAATGGTGGTTACCAGCGGCTAGGGTAACCACAAGAATGGGGAGTTACCACTTAGTGGGTATAAAGTTTCAGTTTTGCAACTTTTTCGGTTTTTTTGAAAAACTTCTAGAGATTGTTTGCAATGTGAATGTGCTTAACACTACTGAACTGTACACTTAAAAATGGTTAAGCCCGGCGAGGCATGGTGGCTCACGCCTGTAATCCCAGCAATTTGGGAGGCTGAGGCAGGCAGATCACCTGAAGTCAGGAGTTCAAGACCAGCCTGGCCAACATGGTGGATCCCCATTTCTACTAAAAATACAAAAATTAGCTGGGCATGATGGCACGTGCCTGTAATCCCAGCTACCCAGGAGGCTGAGGCAGGAGAATCACTGGAACCTGGGAGGCAGAGGTTACAGTGAGCTGAGATCATGCCACTGCACTCCAGCCTGGGCAACAGAGCAAGACTCTGTCTCAAAATAAATAAATAAATAAATAAATAAATAAATAAATAAATAAATAAATAAAGGTTAAGCTGGCAATGTTTTTTTTTTAAGACAGAATCTTGCTCTGTCGCCCAGGCTGGAGTATGGTGGTGTGGTGCAGTCTCTGCCTCCTGGGTTGCAGCGATCCTCCTACCTCAGCCTCCCAAGTAGCTGGGACTACAGGCGCCCACGACCATGCCCGGCTGATTTTTTGTATTTTTTGTAGAGATGGGGTTTTTCCATGTTGCCGAGGCTGGTCTAGAACTCCTGAGCTCGAGCGATCCTCCTGCCTCGACCTCCGAAAGTGCTGAGATTATAGGTGTGAGCCATCACGCCTGGCCTAAGCTGGCAAATTTCATGTGTTTTTTTTTTTAACCACAATAAAAAAAATCGCATAAGGAACAACAAAAAAAGATGAGGTGATTGAACTGCAAGTGCTTTGTAAACTGGAAGGCACGCTACACATACAAGGTGACTGCCATGTCCCAGACATGGGCCGGGCCTGGTGCCTAGCAAGTACTCACTCAATATTCACTGAGTGAGAGAATAATCTCTATTATTGTTATTATTTACGGTGGGAGGAAAGAGAACACAAGAGAGGGGGAACTCCACAGCAGAAGCCTGCCCTGGTGATATGGTTTGGATGTCTGTCTTCTCCAAGTCTTATGTTGAAACGTAATCCCCAGTGTTGAACGTGGGGTCTGATGGGAGGTGTTTGGGTCATAGGGCCCGATTCCTAATGAATGGCTTGGTGTCCCCACCCTTTTATCCCCCCCCCAGTAATGAGTTACCATGAGATCCAATGAGTCTGGGACCTCCCCCTACCTTGTGCGCTCTCTCTCTCTCTCTTGCTCCCTCTCTCACCACGAAATTCCTGCTTCCCCTTCACCTTCTACCCTGAGTAAAAGCCTCCTGAGGCCTCCCCAGAAGCAGATGCTGGTGCCCTGCTTCTCGTACAGCCTGCAGAACTGTGAGCCAAAAATACACCTCTTTTCTTTCTAAAGTACCCAGTCTCAGGCATTCCTTTACGGCAACACAAAGTAGACTAAGACACCCGAGGATCAGAGGAAAAGTCTCAGGACTGCTGGGACCCCCAGGAAGAACTCCTGATCCCCCAAGCCTGTGCCAGCTGGAAGAAAAGTTGTCCACTGTGTCATCACGTCTTGGAAGCATGGTGGAGTCTTGAGATTCCTACACAGAGGCCCCTTGGTGTTCCACAGTCACCATCTCCCTGCCCCCACATTTTCTGCAGGGGCGGGAGCTAGAAGCAGATTCTGACACCCCAAGAAAGAAAGGCAGGTGTAGAGCAGAGGCAGGGCGGCTCGTGGATCCACCTATGTCTGGGGAGACCCTTGGGAACGTCTTAGGAGACCTCTGAACATGAACAGCTTCTCTGCATCCCATACCCAGAGCTGCTCCAGCAGAGAGGCCAGCACCGTGGGGTTTGTCCCCTACGAGGGAAGGTCGGCTCCAGTCAGGATCTCTGGGCTCTCCCAGGAGGCTTATCACTTTCTCACCCACTTTGGTGTAACTCCAAGAACACGTGGAACAAGGCTGTGCCTGTGCATTTTTTTTTTTCCATTTGCATGGAGGCTTCTCCGCCACTGAGTCACTATAAACATCAACATATGTTTCCTTTCATCCTGAAAAGACACCTTAAACTCACAGAATCCTTGCTGCATTTGTTGCCTTTGAGAAACATCTCTTATTTGGGGCATCCCCAGGCACCCCGCAGCTCCAGTTCTTTCTCTGTGCCGTACCCCCCTCAGAAGTCTACTATGGTGAAGGTGTGGGTGTTTCCAGAACTCCAGGCACAAAGACCCAGTATGCGCCCTGCTTGTATGAAATCACAAGAAGCAGAAGTGGAATTGGCGTGAAGCCTCAGCCGGGAGAGGATGTGTTTGAACTCTCCCCCACGGAGTGTACATGCACTAGTGAAGGAAACCTGGGTAGCCATGGCAATCTAGATAAAAGGACGCCCACGCATATTCCCACGCACTCCCATGCACCAGGACCACACGTATGCTTCAAAGAATCTGCCAGACTCCAGCCACGCCTGGGGAGAAGGGAGCCCAGAGAGACAGGGGTGTTTGTCTGGGATAAGGCGTGGGCACCCCAAGCCTGTTCTTAGCCTTCTGGAATTCCCTTATCCTCATTAGGAACTGTTGTTAACGTCACAGGAGACAGCAGGCGTCTACTGTTGGGTGCGGTGGAGAAAAAAAGTATGGATGTTTTGAAAGACTTGAAGGTATTGGTTGGGAAAAATCCCTGCTGGATTCTGCAGGGGCCAGTTCAGGACGGGGGAGTGTTAGAGAATAAAGACACTGATTCATCAGGGCCCTTATGTCCCAGCCTCTGAATGGCGTGGGGCAGATCTTCTCCTCTGACCTGATGGCCGGAAAAGTCTGGAAAGCCTTCTCTGGAATTCCAAACAGAGGGGCTTCTAAGGCTGGCCTCAGCCCAGCACTGAGCACCCATCCCCAGGAGGAAACCTCAGTCCAAGGACAGAAGCCAAGCAGAACCCCGGGCTCTGGTCCCAGTCCCCCCTGCAAATGTGCTTGAAAATTCACCCACAAATACAGGGGTGATGCCTTTGCACCACAGACATGCTCGAGACTAAGAAGCGCCTCTGAGGATGGGTGGAGTGGAAGCTACATTTGGCCCTGAATAAAGAACTGTCCTTTCATAAACGGAGCTGGCATGGCAGGGAGTGACGGGGGAGAGGGGGGCAAAGCCCCCGCTGGCACTGGGGACAGTGAGGGACCTCTATGCTTCAATCCCTGCCGGCCAGCAGGCCCAGGATCTCTGGCTGGACAGAGGGGCCATCTTTGTATCAGCCACCTCCCCCGGGGACCCTGCTTCCTTCCCTTGTGGGACAAGCTGACCAAGGGCCAGAGCCTACGAGCAGCCAAAGGGGAGGCTGCTTGGGACCTCGGCCATCCAAAACTCACAGCAGCAATGCACGCTCTCTGTTGCAGTGCAAAAGATGCATTCAGCCTGCTGGAAGCTACCTGTCCCATCTGAGAGAGAGAGAGAGACAAAGGGACTGGGAAGGATGGACAGAAAAGGGAAAACATATGGCGAATAACTTGTTTTCTGTCTCCAGCTGGTTCTGGAGAGTGGTTGGAACCACACAGGATGCCTGCAGAGAAAACTCCAGATAGTGGATGGAGCCCAGATTAAGAAAGGGGCTGTTCACTTTGGGAGACCAAGGCTGGAGGATCACTTGAGGTCAGGAGTTCTAGACCAGCTGGGCCAACATGGCAAAATCCTGTCTCTATTAAAAATACAAAAATTATCTGGGCGCGGTGGCACATGCCTGTAATCCCAGCTACCAGGAGGCTGAGGCAAGAGAATCGCTTGAATCCAAGAGGCGGAGATTGCAGTGAGCCAAGATCATAGCACTGCACTCCAGCCTGGGCAACAGAGTGAGACTCTGTTTAAAAAAAAAAAGCAGGGGACTATTGTTGACACCCATGCCCAGAAAGAACAGGCGGGATGCAAGAGGGGGTGTCAGGTGCAGAGGACGTGGAGGTCCCATCAGAATGGAGGGAAGGCAGGCAGTGGTTGGGGGGAAGCAGTGAGAAGGGCAGGAGAGGGGCAGGTCATAGCTAAGTCTGGACCCTGAGCTGAATTGATCCGGGGAACTGGAGTAGGAGGAGCCAGTCAAGATCAAAGACACAGTAGGGCCCACTTCACGGGACCAGACAGGGAGCTGCAGCTTCTCTGCAGTGTGCCTGCACCCCACCTCACAAAGACAGCAGGAAAATGCCCACAGGAGGGAAAGAGGGAGGAGGAAGGGCCCCACTGAGGACTAAACTGTCACTGAGCATCCTGGAGAGACACTGGAATCCTCCCTGCCAGGCAGAACTGCCCTCTGCTTAGGGAAAATCACCCTATGGTGTCAGGTGTGCAAAGTGGGAAGCTCAGTCAACACGGTGGCTCACGCCCGCAATCAGCACTTTGGGAGGTCGTGGCGGGAGGATCAGATCACTTGAGGTCAGGAGTTTGAGACCAGCCTGGGCAACAAGGCAAGACCCCACCCCCGCCCCCCACCCTGCCATCTCTGTAAAAAGGAAAACAGTGTAAAGCTAAAACGTGCGCCCTTGTTTGGGAGATGCTGTTCGCTGAGAAGCTGACTTTGGTGGTTTAAAACTTCAGAGGGTTCTCTAAGGTTCTGAGTCTTCAAGGGTGCCTCCTTTCTCTGCCTGGGTTTGGAGGGCACTTGGCAGGAACCGAAGCACAGTGTTTTGGTGATGAATGGGGGAGGAGGTCGTTCCTGTTTGTTGTTGTTGTTGTTGTTGTTGTTGAGTTTTGTTGTGTGAGTTGTTGATTCTCTCTGGGGGAAGGAGCCTCACCTCCTGCTACCCCGGAGGCTGTGGAAGCCCCTGGGCTGGCCGTGCCTGCCTGGCAGGTGCCACGGTGTGCGCACAATTGAATTACTTGGAATGGGCCAAGTTTGGGCCACAAAATCCTCTTACTGTCTACCTGGTAGGCCTCTGGGCATGAGTAAGGGGTGCCTTCCCCATCTATCATTCTAGAAGAGACCCATGCTGGGGTTAGGAAGCAAAGGCAGAGAGGGAGGTGGGAGAAAGAGAGAAACAGCAAAACGGCTTCCTTCCTCTGGTCCCTGCCAGGTGAGGAAGTGGAGCTGGACTGCAAGGTCAAAGTCAGGACGGTTCAAGGGTGAGTTTGTTCCTGCCTCACAGAACCCTGATAGACAAAGAGTCATTCACTCTAGGCCTGTGGGCTGACAGCGTAGTTCATTTATTCAGCAAATATTTACCCAGCACTGCTCCGGGCCACTCACTGTGCTGTCATTCTCTGTGGAACAGTCTCTTAAAAATGAAGTCTCACTGAAAGTTACCACTGACTTGAACCGTGCCCACACTTGGGCGAAAGCCCTGGAATTTCTTGTTCCAGAAACTGTGGGAGGCACTCCCGCGGGAAGGGGAGGGAGCCATGGCTGGCGGTGGCCAAGGCACACCTCAGAGTGCTGGAGCAAATAGCAGGGTGAGCAACAACCAGGATAGGGTGTGAGACACGCTGGCATCCTCGGATGGTCCCAGAAACGCTCAGGAGGTGACCCCGGGAAAGGGGCTTACTTACTTTTATAGTAAAGCAAGATAAAAACGTAGCCAGGCAGCAGTGTCAGTATGAACATACATGCGACCCCACTCAGTGATAAGTGGGATACAGCTGCAGTAACAAACGGGATAATTTGTTTCAGAAGGAATAGGAGAGGGGACGAGCAATACAGTCAAATACAGTATTGTTTTTTAGACCTACCTTCCGACCAAATTTCAAAAAATCTCAAACTTTATGTCAGGATCCATCACAGACAAATCTACAACACTTGAACCCTGTAAAATGGAGAAGGGTCTGTACTGGCAGGTGACTCAGAATGTTGTTTGCACTGAGCTCCTTTTTACCAGTTAGCTTTCCTGAGGAAGTCAGTCTGGCTGAGACCAGCTGAAGAAAGGAAGTGACTCTCAAAGTAGTGGCCAGATGGCTGAGCTGCCGCCATCTTGTGAGGAAGCCTGAGCGCTGGGTGCAAATCCAGCCATGGCTCTGTCTTCTTCTGGTGTGTGTTCTGTTTTCTCCTGAAGTGTGGGTTTTATGGTCATCCGTGGTGTAGCTCATGGCAGAATTTCCTTCTTTTTTAAGGTTGAATAATAGTCCACTGTATGGATAGACCACGTTTTGTTTATCCATTCATCTGTCAATGAACATTTGGGTTGCTTCTGCCTTTCGGCTATTGTGAATAATGCTGCTATGAACATCAGGGTACAAATATCTCCTTGACCCTCTAATTTCAATTCTTTCCAGTCTGTACCCAGAAGTGGAGTTGCTGGATCATATAGTAATTCTGTTTAATTGTTTGAGGAAAAGCCATATTGTTTCCAACGTTCTGTGTTCCTCTGCTTTCTCCTGGAGTGTGAGTTGTATGGTCACAAACCTCAAGCATGCAGATGTAGGCTTTCTGTATTTTTCTATGGTAATGTCATTTCTGTCTTGACAGCAGAAATAATCTTGTCACTTCCAGGAAAACCCAAGTCATATTACTGACTTCCCCAGTCATTTTGAATTAGTCGGATCAGGGTTTCCCTGTCGCCACTTCTCTCCCAGAAGGGCAAGCCATTGCTGCAGGGGTGGGGTGAGCAGGGGCCATCTTCTGTCCTCCAGGCATCTGCACAGATGCCACTGGCTCTGGCAGAGGTGACTTCTCCAAGACATGAGCTTTTCCCAGATCCTCCTAATCTATTTTGAACTTTTTTTAAATCATTTGTGTTGAATTGTTTTTAAATTGTGGTAAAGTGCACATAGTACATAAAATTTACCATCTCAGCCATTTTGAGGTCTACAGTTCAGTGGCACAAAGCACATTCACACTGTGGTGCCGCCTTCACCATCATCTATCTCCAGAAACTTTTCATCTTGCAAAACTGAAACTCTGTACCCATTAAACTACAACTCTCAGCCGGGCGCAGGGGCTCACGCCTGTAATCCCAGCACTTTGGGAGGACGAGGTGGGCGGATCACCTGAGGTCAGGAGTTTGAGACCAGCCTGGCCAGTATGGTGAAACCCCGTCTCTACTAAAAATACAAAAATTAGCCGGGCGTGGTGGCAGGCGCCTGTATTCCCAGCTACTTGGGAGGCTGAGGCAGGAGAATCGCTTGAACCTAGGAGGCGGCAGTTGCAGTGAGCCAAGGTTGCGCCATCGCACTCTGGCCTGGGCAACAAGAGCGAAACTCTGTCAAAAACAAATTACAACGCTCCATTTCCCCCTCCCACAGCCCCTGGCCACCACCATTCTACTTTCTGTTTCTATGAATTTGACCACTTTCAGTACAGCAACGAGAATGGGAACCAGTAAGGGGAATCGTATAGCATTTGTCTTTTTGTGTTGGCTTATTTCACTTAGCATAATGTCCTCAGTTCATCCATGTTGTAGCACATGGCAGAATTTCTTCCTCTTCTAAGGCTGTGTCATATTCCATTGTATGGCTAGACCACAGCTTGTTTATTCTTTCATCTGTCAATGAACATTTGGGTTGCTTCCACCTTTTGGCTATTGCAGATAGTGCTGCTATGAACATCAGGGCACAAATATCTCTTTGAGTCTCTGCTTTAAGTTCTTTTGGGACCATATCCAGAAGCGGAATTGCTGGATCATGTGGTAATTCCATGTGTAATTTTCTGAGGAAGAGCCATGCTGTTTTCCTCAGCGGCTGCACTATTTTTTTTTTTTTTTTTTTTTTTTTTTTTTTTTTTTTTTGAGACAGAGTCTGGCTCTTGTCGCCCAGGCTGTAGTGCAGTGGCGCGATCTCGGCTCACTGCAAGCTCCGCCTCCCGGGTTCACGCCATTCTCCTGCCTCAGCCTCCCGAGTAGCTGGGACTACAGGCGCCCACCACCACGCCTGGCTAATTTTTGTATTTTTAGTAGAGACAGGGTTTCACCATGTTAGCCAGGATGGTCTCGATCTCCTGACCTCGTGATCCGCCTGCCTCGGCCTCCCAAAGTGCTGGGATTACAGGCGTGAGCCACTGCGCCCAGCCGCGGCTGCACTATATTACCTTCTCAACCCCACTGCATGAGAGTTCCAGTTTCTCTGCTTCCTCACCAACACTTGTTATCTTCTGCCTTTTTGGTAGTAGCCATCCTCATGCATGTGCATGAGGCTTGCTCATCACGATTCTATCTTGAATTTTTAAAAAGTTTACTTCTAGTCCCTTCCAGGCTCTACCAGAGAAAAAGCCCTTTGTAGGGTATCTACATCACAGTCTCTCTCTGTTCTCTGCGGTCTAAAAGTTTTTTAATTTATTTTATTTTTTTTTTATTGTTTGAGACAGAGTCTTACTCTGTCACCCAGGCTTAAGTGCAGTGGCACAGTCTCGGCTCACTGAAACCTCCACCTTCCAGGCTCAAGCGATTCTTCTGCCTCAGCCTCCCAAGTAGCTGGGATTATAGGCATGCACCACCACACCTAGCTAATTTTTGTATTTTTAGTAGAGATGGGGTTTCACCATGTTGGCCAGGCTGGTCTCAAACTCCCGACCTCAAGCAATCTGCCCACCTCTGCCTCCCAAAGTGCTGGGATTATAAGCATGAGCCACCAGGCCCAGCCTAGATGTTATTTTTATCTCTTATTTATGGGAAACACAGGTCTCACATCATGGATTCTTTGCATTTTGTGGTTTACTTGGCAGAACCACACGATGTTGAGTAGCAACAAGGATGTTGACCCCTTCAGCCTCAGGTGGCCAGGTAGGGCACAGTGGACGCTCACCCTGGGCGGTGGCAGGGCGTGACTCAGTGTGCTTGACGAACATGGTGTTGTCATCGCCCCTTGGCTGGGAAGCTTGGCCTTATGGCATAAGCTTTGGGTGGTGAGTTCCTTGGCCTTTCCTTATTAGCATTCAGAGTTAAGACTCTGGAACTTGAAAATCCTTTTCCTTTCCAAAAATTTCAACTCTTGCAAAAGAAATAAACCTGGGCTATCACGTCATGAACTCTGCTATACGTTTAAATAGTATCTTGAAACTCAACTGCCTGCTCTGTTCTTCCTGGATTACTCTGTAACATTCTTTAAGCCGTTTGCTTCAACATGTGGATGCCCCAAGGCAATAAAGGACTTTAGGCTCGATGAGATGAGGTTCAGGCAACAAGCGTGAACCTTAACAACCACCTCCTCATTTTCCCCAGCCACACAGGACAGGTGTCCCCACCCTCTCACCTGCACTCAGAAGGTGGGCTTTGGACTCGGAGGCCCTGCCTTTCCCAGCCCATAGCCTGCCAAATGATAATGCACTGGTTTCCCAGAAAAAGAAAATAAAAAGAGAAAGAAGCAGTCTGGGGGCCACCGGGAGATCAGAAAAGAGAACTAAGTCTCTCTGTGGCAGGGCAGTGCTTAGCAGAAGGGAACTGTTTTTAGGAAGCTCAGATCCTGATGCACTGGCTCAGAGAGACAATGTGGGACATTTGAGGTCAGTGGCTCATCCTTTCTGCGCCCCAGTTTCCAATTCTGCGGAACAGGCACTAATCATACGACACCATGTGTCGTGGAAATGGATGAATAATCAGGGCCTCCCACAGAGGACGAATGCCCCAAAATGCAAAGTCAGGAGTGGCAGTGAATACTGATCACTGGGAAGTGGAGGAGATGCGTTCAGACACCAAGCTGCAACCTTGGCTGTGCACATGCGCTTAAAGCTCTCCTTGAAGGATGCATTTCTGACAAAAGAAAGAAGTGACTCAGCGTAGTAAGTTTCTGTCATTCATAAAATCTCTCCCTCCTCCTCATGCGAAGTTCCCTGGGAGAAAAATTAAGCTCTTCGCTTTCTTGAGGCTGACGCAAAATCTTAAAATGTTGTATCTAAAAGTCCCTCCTCCACCTCTGTCACATCTCTTGTTTAATGGCCTTCGAAACTGGTTTGTATTTGATCAGCAGAACTCAGGCTTCAAACACATTTTGGACAGTGTGGTGGTACGTGCCTGGGATTCCAGCTACTTGGGAGGCTGAGTCAGGAGGATTGCTTGAGGCCAGGAGTTTGAGACCAGCTTGAGCAACATAGTGAGACCCCCATCTCAAAAAAAAAAAATGGACAGAACCCAATATATCAAACAGGTAAGCGGGGGACTGTTGAGGCCAACTCTGAGGTTGGTACCTGTCCCCTCGGGCCTCTCAGCACCATCTTCTTGCAATTCACGGTCCTAAGCTTTCTCCTTAGAAGCCCGAGGGTTTCCCATCAAACTGTGTGAAAACATCTCAAGGAGCTTAATTCTCCCATTTGACAGGTGAGTAGACAAATCTAGAGACAATTCTAGACAAATCTAGACAGATCTAGATGTCTGGATTCCAGGCTCAGTTCATTTCCCCTTCCTCCATGCCAAGGATGGCAGGGTCATTGGTAGAGACAAGGTCTCACTATATGGTCCAGTGATGGTGGTGGTGATGAGGGAGTCAAGGTGGGCAGGCAGGAAGACAGACACAGTGCAAAAGAGGAATATGAGCAACACTTTTGAAAAAAAAAAAAAGGGCAGGTGTTTCTAACTGAAGGAGGTCAGAGGCAGTTTCCTCACAGACAAAGGATAGTGCAAACCAAAGCAAGGAGACCTCTTTCTTCTGACCTGGGAGATGGAAGATGACGCTATGTTCTGCTTTAGTCCCTTGGACAAGAGGAAGATATTTCTGTGTGTGTGTGTGTGTGTGTGTGTGTGTGTGTGTGTGTGTGAGAGAGAGAGAGAGAGAGTGAGAGAGACAGAGAGATAGGGTCTCACTCTGTCCCCCAGGCTGGAGTACAGTGGCATGATCATAGCTCACTGCAGCCTCTACCTCCTGGACTCAAGTGATCCTCCCACCTCAGACTCCCAAGTAGCTGGGTCACAGGTACGCACCACTACACCAGGCTTTTTTGTTTTTTGTAGAGATGAGGTCTCACTACATTGTCCAGATTGGTCTTGAACTCCTGGGCTCAAGGGATCCTCCCGCCTTGACTTCCCAAAATGCTGGGATTACAGACCACATTTCTTATGTTACAAAGGGACTTAAACAAACTGAGATTGGATAATACTCAAAGAGGCATTTTGTAAGGTGCTATTTCTCAAATCATTGGTGATCTAACCTTAGTGTTGCAATGCATGGGTCTTTCGCTGGAGTTTTTGCAAACCAATCTGTGGAATCCCTGGAAAGATTAACCAGCCCAGCAAAGCTGCAGTGATTTGGAGATTTCCCTGTTCTGTTCCCTCTGCCCATCCTTAGCTCTGCCACATGATGGATAATTTTACGTGTAAGTTTGACTGGGCCTGGGTGCCCAGATTTGACACTATTTCTGGGTGTGTCTGTGAGGATGTTTCTGGAAGAAACCAGCATTTGAGACAGTGGGCTCAGGAAACTAGATCAGTCTCCCCTACGTGGGCGGGCCTCATCCAATCTGTTGAGGACCTAAATAGAACAGAGGAAGAAAAAACACACCCCTTCTTTCCTGCCTCACTCCTTGAACTGGGCTGTCTTCTATCCTCTCCTCTTGCCCTCCGCCTGGGATCTCCCCCATTGGGACTTAGGCCACCGGCTCCCTCAGGCCTGCGGACCTGGGCTGAATGATGGCACCGGCTTGCCCGGGTCTCCAGCTCACAGATGGCCGGCCGTGGGATTTCTCAGCTTCCATAATCACATGAACACATTCCCCATAATAAATCTCCTTCTATATATTTGTAACATATTTTAATATTTTTATACAAACATTTCCTATTGGTTGTTTCTCTGAAGAACCCTGACTAATGCAGCCACATTTCCCTTAGTTATTATTGCAAATGCAGAGGAGGTCTTGAAATTGCCTGAAAAGCTGTTCATTCTAAAGGCTGTGTGTGCATGTAGAGTGTAAGGCATCCAGTGGGTACTGTCATCTTCATGGAGCAAATTCAACCACATCAATAGGTTACTTTATTTTATTTTTTGAGACAAGATCTCACTCTGTCACCCAGGCTGGAATGCAGTGGCATGATCACAGCTCACTGCAGCCTCGACCTCCCTGGTTTCAGGTGATTCTCCCACCTCAGCCTCCTGGGTAGCTGGGACCACAGGTGCATGTACCATACCAGGCTAATTTTTGTATTTTTTTATAGAGTCAGGGTTTCGCCATGTTGCCTAGGCTGGTCTCGAACTTCTGGGTTCAAGTGATCCTCCTACCTCAGCCTCCCAGAGTGCTGGGATTACAAGCGTAAGCCACCACACCCGGCCAATAGGTACTTTCTAAGCCAGTCACACCCTTTCTCTTAAAAACACCTAGAAGCTATCAACTGTGTTCCTATCCTTTTACCCAGCAACACCACTTCCAGGAATTCACCCAAGTGAAAGATCAGAGATGTGCAGAGCGATTTATGTAAAAGTTTGTCCACTGAGGTAGGAAATATTTTCCTGCAAATGACCTGAAAAGCATCACTCTATTTTATCATATAGTTTTATCATTTAGTGTCATGGAAGGATTAATAATGTACTGGGGGAAAAGCCGGTTACAAAGCACTACACTATCTTATTCCATGTTTATATTATATGTTATAAAATATATACATTTAAAAAATATGTGGAACTTAGATATAAACTAGGGCCTCTCTGTTTTTCAAATCTAGTTATACTTGGTTCCATCCCTCCTGACCAATTCCATGGATTGTGCAAGTTCAAAGACTTTCTGGGGATCCCCATGATTTGCACGTGTGGGAATTGGAGAGAAGGACATGTTAATATGGCTGTAGTATGTTGACCGAGACATAAAACTCAGCCCTGTCTTTAACTTATACAAATATACGATTATATACAGACACACACACACACACACACAAGCACGAAGCATCTGGGTGGGTGCACAGGTGGAGAAAAGAAAGGAGTTTATATTTCAGCTTTGTAAACCACTTGAAATTGCACCTTACACTTGTTCCCTACGTGCCTTTGAATTTTGCCAACTTCTTCGGTTTATTCAACATGAAGTTCAGTTTGTTCAAATAAATAGACATGGAAATTCTAAAATGTAAAGGTCTTACAGTAGCACAGGAAAGCAAATGGGTGTCAGGAAAGTCATGGCTTGACACGTGTAAATTCAGCCTGTCAAAGTGCCCCAGGTAGCAGCATATGTGGCTATTGTTGTACAGACAGCCTCGTATTAATTATATTTACTGCTTTGCACATTTAGACCAAGAATTTTTAAAACTCCATTTAGCCCAGCTGACGAAGCTGTCACAGCCCATTTCCCACATAATGTCCCATCATTACAAATAGAAAGATGGCCGGGTGTTGTAATCCCAGCACTTTGGGAGGCTGAGATGAGAGTATTGCTTAAGCCCAGAAGTTCAAGACTTGCCTGGGCAACACAGTGAGACCCTCCTCTCTGCAAAAATAATTTAAAAATTAACCAGGCATGGTGGTCAATGCCTATAGTCCCAGCTACTCGGGAGGCTGAGGTGGGAGGATCACCTGAGCCCAGGAGGTCGAGGCTGTAGTGAGCCATGATCATGCCATTGCACTCCAACTTGGGTGACAGAATGAGAACCTGTCCCCAAAAACAAACAAAGAATCAAAAAGAAAGAAAGATTACATTCAAAAATAGAAATAAAACTCTAATTCAAGCAAACTAATGAAGGAGATTTGCCACCAACACTTGCGATTGAAAGAGAATGGTAAGAGATTTGTTTTTTTTTTGTTTTTGGTTGTTTTTTTTTTTGAGACAGAGTCTCACTCTGCCGCCCAGGCTGGAGTGCTGCGGCACGATCTCAGCTCACTGCAAGCTCCGCCTCCTGGGTTCACGCCATTCTCCTGCCTCAGCCTCCCAAGTAGCTGGGACTACAGGCACCCGCCACCACACCTGGCTAATTTTTGTATTCTTAGCAGAGACAGGGTTTCACCCTGTTAGCCAGGATGGTCTCCATCTCCTGACCTCATGATCCACCCGCCTGGGCCTCCCAAAGTGCTGGGATTACGGGCGTGAGCCACCGCACCCGGCCGGTAGGAGTTTTTATTACACGTAAGACAGGTCTTCAAAATACCACATGTACTTTAAGAAAAAGAAAAATCAGAGGATCTGATGGGGGAATTGAAATCCTATTGCCTGTTCCCAACATACATTTCAGCATTTTCTCAACTAAATGGCAATTTCTCCGTGAACGGCGGGGCGGGGGGGCGGGGGCAGGGGGGAGCTGGAAAGGCGCCCCCTGCAACCCCCAGCCCTTCCTCCCTGGGAGGTCCAGGATTGCAGTATCACATTCACATCTGCGGTCGCAGGGCCCTCACTCAGAGAAAGCATGTGTTGCCTTTTCTCTCTGAACAGAGGCTGTCTCTGCATTTAATGTACTTACTCTCTTATGTGGCCCATTAAATCATCCTTTACATTTCTTTCCTGTGTCATCCACAGCTGGTCAATATGACCAGTGAAACAGAATTCAAAGACGCCCCATCATCTTCAAAACAGCTTAAACACGAATCCAAACGGATAGAGTCCAATACAGCTTTGCTTGTTTAGGTCACCCCCATGTGTCTCTAGAGGGAACTACTATTGCAGGTCTTTGAAACATCACCATCACTTTGAATCCACACTGCATAAGCGATTTTTGTCTACTTACAAAGAAAACCTGATGCATCTGAAGCGCCGCGGTGGCAGACACAAAAGTGACTGGGGCATCGATCCTGCCCTCAAGAAACTTGTGGTTTAACAGGGAAGAAGAGACGTGCAGAAAGAAACTTAAAGACGGCAGAAAGCAACAAATGCCCTTCCTTGCCACAGCGAACATGTTAGGAACGGGGGAAGAAGGCAGAATTAATTCCAGCAGTGAGAGCATCTAAAGAGGCTCCCTGGATGTGGCATTTGATGTGGGCTGAAGACTGGGCCTGATTTAGGGCCATTCATTCACTCATGAAATAGTTTAAGCAGCAGTAAAATCATGTCATCAAGGCAGAAAAGTGCAGGACCTACAGATAAAATATAAGGAGGTTTGTGTTTCTGAAGCATGGAATTGTGAAGGGTGATAATGTGAATTTGGATTTGAAAGAAAGGTTGGGGCCTTGTGTATCAAAGGAAACAAACTGTGCTTCTCCGGGTGACATAGCAGGAGCCAGAGAGGGTGTTTGAGCACAGAAGTGAGCTCACAGATTCTTTTATGTATTCAACAGTGTCATTCAACACATAGGAGTGTGGCTATCTGTGCCAGGTGCAAGGCATTGGGTACACAGTGGTGAGAAAAACACACACGGGTCCTGCTGCCACAGAACTTACAGCAGAGTCAGGAGAGAGATGATAAAGAAACATGCACACTTACAAAGCAATACCTGGCCGGGCGCGGTGGCTCACGCCTGTAATCTCAGCACTTTGGGAGGCCGAGATGGGTGGATCGCCTGAGGTCAGGAGTTCGAGACCAGCCTAGCCAACATGGTGAAACCCCGTCTCTACTAAAAATACAAAAAATTAGCCTGGCATGGTGGCGGGCGTCTGTAGTTCCAGCTACTCAGGAGGCTGAGGCAGCAGAATGGCTTGAACCCGGGAGGCGGAGGTTGCAGTGAGCCGAGACTGAGCCACTGCACTCCAGCCTGGGCAACAAGAGTGAAAATCCATCTCAAAAAAAAGATAATAATACCTGATTTAAAATGATAATTAGGCAGAGGAAGAAAAAAAAGCAGAATCCTGTTAGAGAATAATGAGGGGCTGGGAACTTAATTGAGATTGGGAGTTACAGAAGACCTCTCCAAGAAAATAACATTGGAACTGAGACCTGAAAGGTACATGAGTGATGTGGAGTAAAGTCTTGGGAGATGAACCTTCCATGCTTGTGTGAAGGCCCTGAAGAAGGAAGGAGTTTGCAGGGCTCAGGAGACTGGAAATTTTTGCCAGGAGCTAGGAACGAGGGGTTGGGAGACGTTGGTCAAAGGGTACAAAGTCCCAGTTATGCAGGATGAATAAGTTCTGAAGACCTAACATACAGCCCAGTGACCATAGTGAATAACACTGAATGAACAGTATACTCGAAATTTGCTAACAGAAGAGATCTTAAGTGTTCTCATAACACACAAAACATAGCAACTGTATGAGGTGATGGGTATATTAATTAGCCTGACTGTGGTTATACATTTATCAAAATGTCACACTGTGGCTGAGTGCAGAGGCTCATACCTATAATCCCAACATTTTGGGAAGCTGAAGCGGGTGGATTGCTTGAGGCCAGGAGTTTGAGACCAGCCTGGGCAACATAGCAAGACTGCATCTCTACAAAAAATACAAAAATTAGCTGGGTGTGGTGGCACATGCCTGTGGTCCCAGCTACTCTGGAGGCTGAGGTGGGAGGATTGTTTGAGCCCAGGAGGTAGAAGTTGCAGTGAGTTGAGATTGCAATCCCTGCACTCCAGCCTGGGTGACACAGTGAGACCCTGCCTAAAATAAAAAAAAAAAAAAAAAAACACTGTACTCCTTGAATCTGTGCCATTTTTGTTTGTCAATTATATCTCAATAAAGCCAAAAAAAAAAAAAGGGACTAGGAGAAGGCTGGTGTGAGGGGAGGGTAGGAGCAAGGAAGAGGGTGGCAGGGGATGCTCAGAGACAAATGGGCCCCTGTCACGGTGCATGGCAAGGAACCTGAGTGTTCAGTGTCATAGGGGGCTATGGAGCAACTTGATCCCATCTGCAATTTAGAAACAACACTCTGGGCACAGCATGGAGGATGCCCTGGAGGGGACATGGACAGCTCTGGGACATCCATTAGGAGGCTTCTGCAGCTGCCAGGTGGGACTGTGGTGGCTGCAGCAAGGCAGGCATCAATGGGGTGGAGAGAAATGCTCCCAGAAGGTGAATGTGGTCACGGCAGGGCTTAGAGGAGAGAGCCTGGAGGCAGAGAGGCCAAATTAGGAGGCCACGGCAGTTGTCTTAGTGGGATACAGGAGCGAGACACGAGAGGGAAGGAGGGCCAGCATGTTGTTTGGAAAACACCCCAGCCAACTCCTGTGGTGGTGAGGCCCCTGTTGAGGGGGAAGGCACAAGTCAGAAAGGCACTCAAGGGGTCACAAAAGCTTTGAGCCTGCATGGTTTTAGCTGGCCACAGGATCAAAGTGTGACCAGGTGAGGGCAGAGGGTGGGTTTGCACTGGGACCTCTCAACACTGGGGAGTAAAGACATGACTCAGATGGAGAGATCCAGGAGCAAGAACTCAGTCCAGACGCAGGAGTTCATTAGACTGCGATTCTCCAACTCCTGACCAAGCTGCATTTCACTTGGGGAATGGAAATGTCCTCTCGTGTCCCTGCTGGGGTGGGGCTGCAGAGGAAGGACCGAGGGTATCACTGGGGGTGGGGAGGAGATTGAGGAGGGGAAATGCAACATAAAGTCACCCAAAGCCCAAGGAAGCTCCAACTAAGACACACAGAAATGCAAATGGAGATTAACTTCCACCTATTTTGACATTGTATTAAATTATCTTATATAATCATCATAATAACAGCTAAACATTTGCTCAGTTTCTTCGATGTGCCAGCTCATATTATATATCCATGTATGTGCTAGGCTGTTCTTGCACTGCAATAAAGAAATACCCAAGGTAGGGTAATTTATAAAGAAAAGAGGTTTAATTGGCTCACAGTTCTGCAGGCTGTACAGGAAGCACAGTGCTGGCATCTGCTCAGCTTCTAGGGAGGCCTCAGGAAGCTTCCGGTCATGGCAGAAGCTAAAGGGAGAGTAGGCATGTCACCTTGTGAAGCAGAAGCAAGAGAGAGAGACTCGGGGAGGAGATGCCACACACTTTTAAACAACCCGATCTTGTGTGAACTCAGAGTGAGAGCTCACGCATCGCCAAGGGGATGGCCCAAGCCATTCATGAGGGACCCGCACCCATGGTCCCACCTCCCACATTGGGTATTACATTTCAACATGAGATTTGGGTGGGGACAAATATCCAAACTATATCAATGTACATGCATACATTATGTAACATTTAATATAACAATAGCATAACGGTGAAACAGCAAAAGAGCTAACATAACTAACTCCATTCGTTTAAGGGGACTTCACCCCTTCCTGCACATAGTCTAGGATGATTTTGAAGCATTGAGATAATACGTAAAAACAGCAATCGTGTTGTTTTCGAAACTGACTCTGAAATTAAAGGGAAAGGTTATAAACAACTAACTACGTTTTACTAAAAATTTATAGGAGTATTGTGACCTGACCAAGGACAAGGAAGTTCCCAACCTCCTGGGACCCTTGCTTGTACCCAGATGTCTGTGGTTGTCAGTCACACCTTGGTACCAACCCCTTGCTCTTCCCTCTGCCCTTAACATAAAAAAAAGCCTAAAATTTGTGCTGACTTAAGATGGTACTTTAGGATGCTAGTCCACTATCTTCTTGATTTTGCTGGCTCTCTGAATAAACCTGCCTTTCCCTCCACCAATCCTTGTCTCTCGAGTCTGGCTTTTGAGCAGTAAGCAGACCAACCTGGGTTAGGTTACAATAGCAAACATTTCTATCGAGCTCGCCCTGGCACAGTTCTAAGTTACTGATATTTATCAACGCACTCATGAGGTAGGTGGTGTTACTATCACCATCTTACAGGCAAAGGAACTGAGACAGAGAGGTTAGGTAAAATGCTCAAGGTCACACAGCAAGTAAGTGTTGAGGCCAGGATCTGAGCTTGGCTCATCAACACGATTCTACCTCACTTTACACATCATATAATAATCTTAACTCTTGGTGTAAAAATGATGGCAGCAGTGGCCCACCTGGAGCAGCTGCTGCTAAGATGCCAGCTACAGCAGGGGAGTTGCAGCTGGGGATGCATGCTCCACAGAGCCAGTGGGAGCTGGGAACAGGCAGGAGCCATGCCCCCTTCCAAGCTGCCTCCTGGGCACAGCTGCGTCTGCCCAGCCACAGCTGTGGACCCAGGCATCCCTGTGCTTTCAGGAGCCTGGGAAGCCCCCCTGCCCCCACAGGCTCAAAAGTGTCTGCTGCTGCCACCTGGCTTTTCCCTGCTCCTGGTGCCCACTTCAATTTTGGAGCAAAGTTGAGATCAAGCCCAGGCAGTGTCATGACCTGGCCGGGTGTGTGCATGCTCAGGGCAGTGCTGACATGCCAGCCTCCTGCCACCTCAGCCTCGTCCAGACTTTGAGCACTGACAGGGTATGGGAGGGAGGCTAAGGAGAGCTGAAGGCAGCTCAATGCGGGCTGGCAGGTGCCCCTTGGCACAAACAGTCTGGGTGCTGTGGATGCCATGGATGGCAGGTTGATGGCAGCAGGAGACAGGTAGGTTCCTAGGTGGAAAGGAGTGGGTCCCTGGTGAAACCCCACTTTCAAGCCAGGGACAGCCTGAAGCCTGGGGCCTAGGCTATCAATTCTGTGGATGGGAGCAAGAACTTATGGTGCTTTTCCTGGGCCCACCCATGGCTGCCCATGCACCATGGCTGTCATGCACTGAGTGTGTGCACTCAGCACACACTTCCTCCCCTCTGAAGTCCATAAAAACCCCAAATTCAGCCAGGCCCCAGCAGATGACAGGACAATCTGCCTGCAGATAGGAGCTACACACTCCAGGTCTCCTCTCTGCTGAGGGCTTCACAGCCAACGGGTCAACCTGTCTGTGGAAAGGACCTACCCACTTTGAGTCTCCTGAGAGCTATACTGACGCTCCATAAAGCACCTCTCTGCCTTGTTCACCCTCTAGTTGTCCATGTACCTCATTCTTCCTGGATGTGGGACAAGAACCCAGGACCCACCAAATGGTAGGACTGAAAGAGCTGTAACACAAACAAGGCTGAAACACACACCCCTGCTGCCTCCCTTACCCCATTCACCACATTGCAGGCAACAAGAAGGAGAGAAGAAAGAAGGAGAGACCATCTGCAGCCCTTCAGGGAGCTCAGACCTAGGAGATCCCCAGGCCAGGGCTGTGATATCCTCTTTGGGGCTCTGCAGTTCCTGGTATCTCCAAGCTTCCAGATGCCACCATGTTTCCTGGTGCTCACAGTGGAAGTGACCTGTGGTACGCCTGGTCCAGCCACAGCCTCACAGGGAGCTGGCACCTGTGCTGGTTCCTGGAGCTGCCCACCACACTGCAGTAGCCAGCGTGCTTGGCTGTGCACAATGGCCGGACCCTGTGCTTGCTCGTTCATGCACCCCTTGCTGCTTCACACCTGGATTGCCCTTGGCAGGTGCAGGATCCAGGCCAGTAGCATGAGCTGAGCGCAGCTTGCCAGGCTGAGTGGGCAGAAAGAGCCCAGCAGGCCTAAGAAAAATTCAGGCAAAGGTGCCACTGGCCACAGAGGTTTCTGGGTGGCAAAGCAACACCCCAAGGATCCTGTAGCAAAAATAAGTAGCTCAGGCCAAAATACTTAGAGTCCATCCTTGACTCCTCTCCTTCTACTCTAGACCCAATCCATCTACAAATCCTGTCCACTCCACCTTCAAAGTATATCTAGAATCAACTGCTCACGTGCACCCCACCAATGCCACTCTGTCCAAGACCATCCACTGTCATGTGGATGAGTGCCACTTCCGTGCAGCTAGTCTCTTGGTTTCAGCTCTTTGCCACCTACAGTTTATTTTATTATTTTTTTTTATTATACTTTAAGTTTTAGGGTACATGTGCACATTGTGCAGGTTAGTTACATATGTATACATGTGCCTTGCTGGTGCGCTGCACCCACTAACTCGTCATCTAGCATTAGGTATATCTCCCAATGCTATCCCTCCCCCCTCCCCCAACCCCACCACAGTCCCCAGAGTGTGATATTCCCCTTCCTGTGTCCATGTGATCTCATTGTTCAATTCCCACCTATGAGTGAGAATATGCGGTGTTTGGTTTTTTGTTCTTGCGATAGTTTACTGAGAATGATGATTTCCAATTTCATCCATGTCCCTACAAAGGACATGAACTCATCATTTTTTATGGCTGCATAGTATTCCATGGTGTATATGTGCCACATTTTCTTAATCCAGTCTATCATTGTTGGACATTTGGGTTGGTTCCAAGTCTTTGCTATTGTGAATAGTGCCGCAATAAACATACATGTGCATGTGTCTTTATAGCAGCATGATTTATAGTCCTTTGGGTATATACCCAGTAATGGGATGGCTGGGTCAAATGGTATTTCTAGTTCTAGATCCCTGAGGAATCGCCACACTGACTTCCACAATGGATGAACTAGTTTACAGTCCCACCAACAGTGTAAAAGTGTTCCTATTTCTCCACATCCTCTCCAGCACCTGTTGTTTCCTGACTTTTTAATGATTGCCATTCTAACTGGTGTGAGATGGTATCTCATTGTGGTTTTGATTTGCATTTCTCTGATGGCTAGTGATGATGAGCATTTTCTCATGTGTTTTTTGGCTGCATAAATGTCTTCTTTTGAGAAGTGTCTGTTCATGTCCTTCGCCCACTTTTTGATGGGGTTGTTTGCTTTTTTCTTGTAAATTTGTTTGAGTTCATTGTAGATTCTGGATATTAGCCCTTTGTAAGATGAGTAGGTTGTGAAAATTTTCTCCCATTTTGTAGGTTGCCTGTTCACTCTGATGGTAATTTCTTTTGCTGTGCAGAAGCTCTTTAGTTTAATTAGATCCCATTTGTCAATTTTGTCTTTTGTTGCCATTGCTTTTGGTGTTTTGGACATGAAGTCCTTGCCCATGCCTATGTCCTGAATGGTAATGCCTAGGTTTTCTTCTAGGGTTTTTATGGTTTTAGGTCTAACATTTAAGTCTTTAATCCATCTTGAATTGATTTTTGTATAAGGTGTAAGGAAGGGATCCAGTTTCAGCTTTCTACATATGGCTAGCCTGTTTTCCCAGCACCATTTATTAAATAGGGAATCCTTTCCCCATTGCTTGTTTTTCTCAGGTTTGTCAAAGATCAGATAGTTGTAGGTATGCGGCATTATTTCTGAGGGCTCTGTTCTGTTCCATTGATCTATATCTCTGTTTTGGTACCAGTACCATGCTGTTTTGGTTACTGTAGCCTTGTAGTATAGTTTGAAGTCAGGTAGTGTGATGCCTCCAGCTTTGTTCTTTTGGCTTAGGATTGACTTGGCGATGCGGGCTCTTTTTTGGTTCCATATGAACTTTAAAGTAGTTTTTTCCAATTCTGTGAAGAAAGTCATTGGTAGCTTGATGGGGATGGCATTGAATCTGTAAATTACCTTGGGCAGTATGGCCATTTTCACGATATTGATTCTTCCTAGCCATGAGCATGGAATGTTCTTCCATTTGTTTGTATCCTCTTTTATTTCATTGAGCAGTGGTTTGTAGTTCTCCTTGAAGAGGTCCTTCACATCCCTTGTAAGTTGGATTCCTAGGTATTTTATTCTCTTTGAAGCAATTGTGAATGGGAGTTCACTCATGATTTGGCTCTCTGTTTGTCTGTTGTTGGTGTATAAGAATGCTTGTGATTTTTGTACATTGATTTTGTATCCTGAGACTTTGCTGAAGTTGCTTATCAGCTTAAGGAGACTTTGGGCTGAGACAATGGGGTTTTCTAGATATACAATCATGTCGTCTGCAAACAGGGACAATTTGACTTCCTCTTTTCCTAATTGGATACCCTTTATTTCCTTCTCCTGCCTAATTGCCCTGGCCAGAACTTCCAACACTATGTTGAATAGGAGCGGTGAGAGAGGGCATCCCTGTCTTGTGCCAGTTTTCAAAGGGAATGCTTCCAGTTTTTGCCCATTCAGTATGATATTGGCTGTGGGTTTGTCATAGATAGCTCTTATTATTTTGAAATACGTCCCATCAATACCTAATTTATTGAGAGTTTTTAGCATGAAGGGTTGTTGAATTTTGTCAAAGGCTTTTTCTGCATCTATTGAGATAATCATGTGGTTTTTGTCTTTGGCTCTGTTTATATGCTGGACTACATTTATTGATTTGCGAATATTGAACCAGCCTTGCATCCCAGGGATGAAGCCCACTTGATCATGGTGGATAAGCTTTTTGATGTGCTGCTGGATTCGTTTTGCCAGCATTTTATTGAGGATTTTTGCATCAATGTTCATCAAGGATATTGGTCTAAAATTCTCTTTTTTGGTTGTGTCTCTGCCTGGCTTTGGTATTAGAATGATGCTGGCCTCATAAAATGAGTTAGGGAGGATTCCCTCTTTTTCTATTGATTGGAATAGTTTCAGAAGGAATGGTACCAGTTCCTCCTTGTACCTCTGGTAGAATTCGGCTGTGAATCCATCTGGTCCCGGACTCTTTTTGGTTGGTAAACTATTGATTATTGCCACAATTTCAGCTCCTGTTATTGGTCTATTCAGAGATTCAACTTCTTCCTGGTTTAGTCTTGGGAGAGTGTATGTGTCGAGGAATGTATCCATTTCTTCTAGATTTTCTAGTTTATTTGCGTAGAGGTGTTTGTAGTATTCTCTGATGGTAGTTTGTATTTCTGTGGGATCGGTGGTGATATCCCCTTTATCATTTTTTATTGTATCTATTTGATTCTTCTCTCTTTTTTTCTTTATTAGTCTTGCTAGCGGTCTATCAATTTTGTTGATCCTTTCAAAAAACCAGCTCCTGGATTCATTGATTTTTTGAAGGGTTTTTTGTGTCTCTATTTCCTTCAGTTCTGCTCTGATTTTAGTTATTTCTTGCCTTCTGCTAGCTTTTGAATGTGTTTGCTCTTGCTTTTCTAGTTCTTTTACTTGTGATGTTAGGGTGTCAATTTTGGATCTTTCCTGCTTTCTCTTGTGGGCATTTAGTGCTATAAATTTCCCTCTACACACTGCTTTGAATGCATCCCAGAGATTCTGGTATGTTGTGTCTTTGTTCTCGTTGGTTTCAAAGAACATCTTTATTTCTGCCTTCATTTCATTATGTACCCAGTAGTCATTCAGGAGCAGGTTGTTCAGTTTCCATGTAGTTGAGCGGCTTTGAGTGAGATTCTTAATCCTGAGTTCTAGTTTGATTGCACTGTGGTCTGAGAGATAGTTTGTTATAATTTCTGTTCTTTTACATTTGCTGAGGAGAGCTTTACTTCCAACTATGTGGTCAATTTTGGAATAGGTGTGGTGTGGTGCTGAAAAAAATGTATATTCTGTTGATTTGGGGTGGAGAGTTCTGTAGATGTCTATTAGGTCTGCTTGGTGCAGAGCTGAGTTCAATTCCTGGGTATCCTTGCTGACTTTCTGTCTCGTTGATCTGTCTAATGTTGACAGTGGGGTGTTAAAGTCTCCCATTATTAATGTGTGGGAGTCTAAGTCTCTTTGTAGGTCACTCAGGACTTGCTTTATGAATCTGGGTGCTCCTGTATTGGGTGCATATATATTTAGGATAGTTAGCTCTTCTTGTTGAATTGATCCCTTTACCATTATGTAATGGCCTTCTTTGTGTCTTTTGATCTTTGTTGGTTTAAAGTCTGTTTTATCAGAGACTAGGATTGCAGCCCCTGCCTTTTTTTGTTTTCCATTTGCTTGGTAGATCTTCCTCCATCCTTTTATTTTGAGCCTATGTGTGTCTCTGCACGTGAGATGGGTTTCCTGAATACAGCACACTGATGGGTCTTGACTCTTTATCCAATTTGCCAGTCTGTGTCTTTTAATTGGAGAATTTAGTCCATTTACATTTAAAGTTAATATTGTTATGTGTGAATTTGATCCTGTCATTATGATGTTAGCTGGTGATTTTGCTCGTTAGTTGATGCAGTTTCTTCCTAGTCTCGATGGTCTTTACATTTTGGCATGATTTTGCAGCGGCTGGTACCGGTTGTTCCTTTCCATGTTTAGCGCTTCCTTCAGGAGCTCTTTTAGGGCAGGCCTGCTGGTGACAAAATCTCTCAGCATTTGCTTGTCTGTAAAGTCTTTTATTTCTCCTTCACTTATGAAGCTTAGTTTGGCTGGATATGAAATTCTGGGTTGAAAATTCTTTTCTTTAAGAATGTTGAATATTGGCCCCCACTCTCTTCTGGCTTGTAGGGTTTCTGCCGAGAGATCCGCTGTTAGTCTGATGGGCTTCCCTTTGAGGGTAACCTAACCTTTCTCTCTGGCTGCCCTTAACATTTTTTCCTTCATTTCAACTTTGGTGAATCTGACAATTATGTGTCTTGGAGTTGCTCTTCTTGAGGAGTATCTTTGTGGCATTCTCTGTATTTCCTGAATCTGAACGTTGGCCTGCCTTGCTAGATTGGGGAAGTTCTCCTGGATAATATCCTGCAGAGTGTTTTCCAACTTGGTTCCATTCTCCGCATCACTTTCAGGTACACCAATCAGACGTAGATTTGGTCTTTTCACATAGTCCCATATTTCTTGGAGGCTTTGCTCATTTCTTTTTATTCTTTTTTCTCTAAACTTCCCTTCTTGCTTCATTTCATTCATTTCATCTTCCATTGCTGATACCCTTTCTTCCAGTTGATCGCATTGGCTCCTGAGGCTTCTGCATTCTTCACGTAGTTCTCGAGCCTTGGTTTTCAGCTCCATCAGCTCCTTTAAGCACTTCTCTGTATTGGTTATTCTAGTTATACATTCTTCTAAATTTTTTTCAAAGTTTTCAACTTCTTTGCCTTTGGTTTGAATGTCCTCCCATACCTCAGAGTAATTTGATCATCTGAAGCCTTCTTCTCTCAGCTCGTCAAAGTCATTCTCCATCCAGCTTTGTTCCGTTGCTGGTGAGGAACTGCGTTCCTTTGGAGGAGGAGAGGCGCTCTGCGTTTTAGAGTTTCCAGTTTTTCTGTGCTTTTTTTTTCCCCATCTTTGTGGTTTTATCTACTTTTGGTCTTTGATGATGGTGATGTACAGATGGGTTTTCGGTGTGGATGTCCTTTCTGTTTGTTAGTTTTCCTTCTAACAGACAGGACCCTCAGCTGCAGGTCTGTTGGAATACCCTGCCGTGTGAGGTGTCAGTGTGCCCCTGCTGGGGGGTGCCTCCCAGTTAGGCTGCTCGGGGGTCAGGGGTCAGGGACCCACTTGAGGAGGCAGTCTGCCGGTTCTCAGATCTCCAGCTGCGTGCTGGGAGAACCACTGCTCTCTTCAAAGCTGTCAGACAGGGACATTTAAGTCTGCAGAGGTTACTGCTGTCTTTTTGTTTGTCTGTGCCCTGCCCCCAGAGGTGGAGCCTACAGAGGCAGGCAGGCCTCCGTGAGCTGTGGTGGGTTCCACCCAGTTCGAGCTTCCCGGCTGCTTTGTTTACCTAAGCAAGCCTGGGCAATGGCGGGCACCCCTCCCCCAGCCTCGCTGCCGTCTTGCAGTTTGATCTCAGACTGCTGTGCTAGCAACCAGCGAGACTCCGTGGGCGTAGGACCCTCCGAGCCAGGTGTGGGATATAGTCTCATGGTGCGCCGTTTATTAGGCCGGTCTGAAAAGCGCAATATTCGGGTGGGAGTGACCCGATTTTCCAGGTGCGTCCGTCACCCCTTTCTTTGACTCGGAAAGGGAACTCCCTGACCCCTTGCGCTTCCCGAGTGAGGCAATGCCTCGCCCTGCTTCGGCTCGCGCACGGTGCGCGCACCCTCTGACCTGCGCCCACTGTCTGGCACTCCCTAGTGAGATGAACCCGGTACCTCAGATGGAAATGCAGAAATCACCCGTCTTCTGCGTCGCTCACGCTGGGAGCTGTAGACCGGAGCTGTTCCTATTCGGCCATCTTGGCTCCTCCTGAACTTTTATGCTCTGCTTCTTCTCGAATGCTTTGCTGCTTAGAAATTTCTTCTGGCAGATACCTTAAATCATCTCTGTCAAGTTCAAAGTTCCACAGATCTCTAGGGAACTAGTTCTGCATGGCTGGGGAGGCCTCACAATCATGGTGGAAGGCAAGGAGATGCAAAAGCATGTCTCACATAGCAGCAGGCAGCTACAGTTTATTTTTAACATGGCATTCAGGAGAATAATTTGAACACGTAAGTTGGGTCATGTCCCAACCGTGCTAAAACTTCCTGTGGTTCTCTCTCTCTCTCAGAGTGAACAGGCCAAGCACCCATCCTCCCTCCCTCTGCTCACCCACCCTGACCTCTCGCTGTTCCCTGACCTCACTGGGTCCTCCTGCTTCTCAGCATCTGTGCTCGTTCCCGCTGCTTGGGCAGCTGTGGCCCTAGATACTTGCGTGACTCACTCCCTCGCTTCCTCTGGTCTCTGCTCAGACATCAATTTATCAATATTTCCCCAACTCCCCCACCTTGCAATAGGGTCGCATCCCTCTCCCTCTGCCCCGACCTCCTCCAAGGTTCTTCAGAGCATCCCTCACCATCTGACACATCATCTACTCTGTTTATTTTCTGCTTCCCTGCACTAGAACTCAAGCCTTCTGAGAGCAAGGACTTGCTTTTGTTCCCTGCGATAACCCCAGTGCCTAGATCTGTACCTGGCACATAATGGGCTCAACAAATATTCTTTGAAATGAATGATAGTATTATTCTTCTCGTTTGACAGACAAGGAAACAGGCTCAGAAGTAACATGCTAAGGTCATCAACCTAGTAATATAGCAATTACCAGGAGCTGAGCCTGTCCCATCCCCTTCGCTCACTGACCTAAGTGTGAAGTCATTCCCCTCCTTCCAGTCAGGAAAAATGCCCTCCCATCTCCCACCCCACCACCACTACAGGAACTCTTCTGCAGAGGCTGTCCGGAATGTTCAAGCAAGTATCACTCTTTATGGTAGAATGTTTCATTTGACTGAAGGTTAACCTGATCAATGTCAGAATGGCAACTACTTTTCCTTTCTCCTTGAATTATTACTTTTTTTTAGAGACAGGGTCTTGCTCTGTCACCCAGGCTGGAGTGCAGTGGCACAATCATAGCTCACTATAACCTCAAACTCCCGGGCTCAAGCAATCCTCCTCACACAGCCTCCCAAGTAGCTGGTATTATAGGCACAGGCCACCATGCCCAGCTCATTTTTTTTTTTTTGTATTTTGTAGAGTTGGGGGCTTTCTGTGTTGCCCAGGCTGGTCTCAAACTCCTGGCCTCAAGTGAGCCTCCCGCCTGACACTCCTGAAGCACTGGGATTACAGGTGTGAGCCATCATGCGTGTTCTCTTCTTGAATTATCGAAATGTAACTGAACCTTCTCTTTGTGTTGCAGGATTAAAATTATTGTGAGATGCAGGTCATGTAGCTAAGATGCTGTATTAGTCCATTTTCATGCTGCTAATGAAGACACACCCAAGAATGGGTAATTTATAAATAAAAAGAGGTTTAATGAACTCACAGTTCCACGTGGCTGGGGAGGCCTTGCAATCATGGCAGAAGGCGAAAGGCACATCTTACATGGTGGCAGACAAGACAGAATGAGAACGAAGCAAAAGGGGTTTCCCCTCATAAAACCATCAGATCTTGTAAGACTTATTCATTACCATGAGAACAGTATGAGGGAACCACCCCCATGATTCAATTGTCTCCCACCAGAGCCCTCCCACAACACATGGGAATTATGGGAGCTACAATTCAAGATGAGATTTGAATGGAGACATAGAGCCGAACCATATCAGATGCAGATGCAGGAGGTGTAGAAGATAGGGGTGAGTGGGTACCAGCCCCTGCTGTGGCTTTGGGACTTGGCTTGATCCTTGGTCTCCTGCTCCGTCCTCATTGAGGGACAATGAATGGTGATTAGCAGCCTGGGTTCTGCAGCTGCCCCACAGCTGTCCTTCTTTAACAGCAGTTAACGAATCCAACATTAAACATTCCTCTCCCAAGCGACTTCTTGCCCCCTAGATGGTGTCTATCACTGTCACTATCACGATCCTTTAACTTTTCAAGCTCATTTAAAGTGTTATCTGTAACCAGGATGCTGTGAAACACATACCTCTTCATCAGTTTACACAGCTCTTCCAGACCTTACCTGAAGTTACTGAGTCTGTTTTGATGTTTTTTTTTTTTTGAGACAGAGTCTTGCACTGTCACCTAGGCTGGAGTGCAGTGGCGCAATCTCTGCTTACTGCACCCTCTGCCTCCCAGGTTCAAGTAATTCTCCTGCCTCAGCCTTCCAAGTAGCTGAGATTACAGGCACGTGCCCCCATGCCCAGCTAATTTTTGTATTTTTAGTAGAGGCGGGGTTTCACCATGTTGGCCAGGCTGGTCTCGAACTCCTGACCTCAGGTGATCCACCCACCTCAGCCTCCCAAAGCACTGGGATTACAGTTGTGAGCCACCACGCCCAGCCGAGTCCGTTTTGTTTAAGGCATGTGAGCAACCTCAAAAATCCATGCCAAGTGGGGAGCAAAGGAAGCTCATTTCACCCCCACACCTCCATTTATCTTCTAAACTAATTTTCACCCAACTCAAGGTCTGGGTCCTTGTGAAGACATTTAAGTTTGCAAGAGGCACGTGGGTAATGACTGGTGGATTATTAATAAAATACAGAATAATAAAACCAGGACATGGCCAAGCATCTGCAGCTGTGTGGACCAATGAAAATCTGAAATCTTTCTGGTTTATGGGCGCTTGATCCTCCTTTGGCTTTGTGGGGCTGGGGGGGACAGATGTGGAGTGGAGGATGAGGGTGGGAAACTGGAATCTGATCATGTTACATGCCCAAGGGCTCTCACTGAAAGTAGGCCTCACCATCTTCCCCATTGCACCTCTGAACCATGTCATTACATGTCTACCTTAGAAAGGCCTGAAATTAAAAAATAATAATAAATAAAAAATAAATTCAAAAACCACTCCATAAGAAGCTGAAAATCTGTACTTCACATTTCTTTCCCTGAGCCCTGAGGTGGTCTAAGTCTTCCTTCATTCATTCCCACGGCCTCCCGGGAACCGTGTCTTCATCCTGAGTTATTTCTGCAGTGTTCCATCAGGCATCTGCGGGTCTTTAAAGGAAATGTGAAAAGGTAGCAAAGACACATCTGTGCAGCAGAGACATGTGGCACAGGAAAGAAGTGCAGAAATCAAAGCCAGGGAGAAGCCTGCTAGCCACCTAGAAATCAAATTGTGTCAGGGAGAAAGCCTGCGTGGAAAATAGATTAGAAAGGCACTGAACAAGAGAGAAGAAAGAAAGGCAGCCCCTGCAAAAGTTAATGAGAAGCAGAGGAGGCCGGGAGAAGCAGCCTGAATTTGAAAAGAGTCCTGCACTGCTTGAGGAAGGACTCAAGATTCAGTAAGTTCTATCGACTTCTGCCTGGGTAATGCGGTGGCCGTCCACCTGCATGTCCCTCTTTGCTCACCACGCTCAAACTGGGGGCTGCAGGCTCTGAAAGAAAACCAGGGAGGAGGGAGACATGAAAGGAATGGGAACGCAGGCCTAGGACTTCAGATGAGAGGGGACCCTCCATCCACAGCGCCATCCTTCATCTGACCTCCAGCCCCGTCCTGACTCTGTAACTACTAGGCCTGGTGCCAACAGGGCTGGTGAAATTGGTGGGAACTGCGATAATGATACCTGCCTGGACAACCCCGAATGTTGAAAGAGACGGCATAGGTACAGGAACTGGCAGAGTGGGGCTCCACAAAGAGCGACCTGTTATTATTAAATGTAGAAGCAGGTGGAAGTGGCCTCTGAGCCTTTCCATTTTCTTTTGAGACGGAGTCTCACTCTGTCGCCCAGGCTGGAGTGCAGTGGCACAATCTCGGCTCACTGCAACCTCCACCTCCCGGGTTCAAGCGATTCTCGTGTCTCAGCCTCTCAAGTAGCTCGGTCTATAGGCGCGCGCCACCATGCCCAGCTAATTTTTTATATTTTTAGTAGAGACGGGGTTTCACCATGTTGGTCAGGCTGTTCTCGAACTCCTGACCTCAGGTGATCCACCTGCCTCGACCTCCCAAAGTGTTGGGATTACAGGCGTGAGCCACCGCGCCCAGCCGTCTTTCCATTTTCATCTGCGCAGTCCAGGCTCGGAGTGCTCTCCTAGCTCCTTCGTCTTCCCGAAACCCCGTGTATCAGTTCCCTCTTGCACCAGCTCCCCTGTGGAGTGGGGCCTCCTCATCTCCTCCCAGCCAGCGAAAGTCATCTTAGTAAGAGACCAGCAGTGACCCTAAGCCCTGGGGGCGGTCACTTTTATCAGGCTCTGCGACCCCCGTGCTCCCCCGTGCTCGGCCTCGTCGGTGGCACTTGGCATGACTGGGAGATCAAGCTCAGGTGTTCCGGAAATTTAACTTTATTTTGTTTATGAACTCACTTTCCATTTCCAGATACCTGGAGGCAGAAACTTAAAGTGTGGACCCCCAGCGTCTGGATGAGAGGACACAAAGGATTAAAAAGTCAACATCCGCGCAGCCAGGCCCCCCACGTGCTCGCCCTCCAGGCTCGGGGCGTTTCCCAGGCAGGTAGGGGAGCGGTTGCTAACAGTGCAGCGCCAATCACCCCTGACGCTCGTTTTCCTAATGCAGGCAAACGCCACATTCCCGGTGTTGGTGCAAAAAGAAATCATCCTACTCCTCCCCTCGCTTAAACTTTCCCACAGGCCTTGTCAAACAACCCCTGGAGCCGGCCTGCAGGTTTTCAATGCGCGCCTTTCACCGTGCGGGGCGCGGCGGGGAGCGGCGAGCCGGGGGCGGGCCTCGTGGGGGCGGGGCGGGGCGTGCCGGGGCGGGGAGGGGCGTGCCGGGGCGGGGCGGGGCGTGCCGGGGCGGGGCGTAGTACGGACTGGGCCTGGCCTGGGGCGTCCCCGCGAAGCCTGGGCCTGTCAGGCGGTTCCGTCCGGGTCTCGGCCACCGTCGAGTTCCGTCGAGTTCCGTCCCGGCCCTGCTCACAGCAGCGCCCTCGGAGCGCCCAGCACCTGCGGCCGGCCAGGCAGCGCGATCCTGCGGCGTCTGGCCATCCCGAATGCTATGGCCGCCGTCGCCGTCTTGCGGGCCTTCGGGGCAAGTGGGCCCATGTGTCTCCGGCGCGGCCCCTGGGCCCAGCTCCCCGCCCGCTTCTGCAGCCGGGACCCGGCCGGGGCGGGGCGGCGGGAGTCGGAGCCGCGGCCCACCAGCGCGCGGCAGCTGGACGGCATAAGGTCAGCCCCGGGCCGCGCGGGCTCCTCGCGTTGGTGCCGAGTCGGGGTCAGGGCGCCGCCATTGACCCGGGGAGGACCCGGGGAACCGGAGCCCCGTTTACGCCCCTGGGGAGGGAACTCCCCGTGTCCCGGACCCGGGCCTGGCAGCGAGACGCGCAGGTGGGATTGTAGGGCCGTCGGTGGGACTGCCCGGGGCTCCAAAGCCCTCAGGGCAGCCTGCGGGGTCACTGGGCCTCCAGTCGCTGGGCCTGCGGAGAGGCCTGGAGAGGAGGGCTCTGGGCCCCAGACCCGGCCCTAGGGGAAGTGTGGGCTTGGTCGAGCTGCTCCTTGGCCCTCACACAGAGGCGCGGGGCTGGGGGCCAGGACAGTAAATAGGACAAAGTGCACAGCTTCCTGAGCGCTGCCCTTGTGGCTACGGGCCCAAAACTCTTAAAAATGTGCTTGTACGCCAACTGGAATCTGGGCGATGGAGTCATGAAGGTGGAGGGCCCTACCCCCTCCAGGCCTGAGCCGGGTGCTTGCCTGGCCGGGGCAAGGGTGCAAAGGGAGGCCTGCGTACCGTGTTTCAGCATGTTTCAGTTCTAAATCAAGCTATTAAATAAAACGTCGTCTTCTCCTACCCTGAGATGTTCACCTTCCGAAGAAGACCTAGAAGGCCGCCTGTGAACTGATAATCCTCAGATGACCAGGTGGTTCCCCGCAGGGGTAGAGAGCCAGCCCGTGGCTTCAGCGTTTTCCTTTTCTCCTCACCCTCCTCTCATCCTTTCCTACCTTTGCACCCGTCCTTTCTGCTGCTCTGCAAGGGGCTGGGTGCACAGATCTGCAGACACCCTTCCAGCCCTCATGCTCTACAGACAGCTGCTCTTGGCCACCTTTGGGCTTGGGGTGCCCACAGCAGGGGCAGGGAATTCCAGGGTCTCAGTAATGGCCGCAGGGTTTGGAAAGGGGATGGTTCCCTTCCCTGTGGACCCCTTGCTCATCAACTACAGGAGCACAGGCCAGAGCAGGGCCCAGGCCAGGGTCTTTCTTGCCCATTGCTAAGTTTCTGCTTCTGTAAATCTGGTCACATCTGGTTGGAAGCCTGACTTCTGGGCATGGCGGCCAGATGGCAAAAAGGAGGCCGGTCGAGTTCTCCAGAATTAAATATGAATCAGCAAAGGTGGTGACTGAAACACTCTCACATGAATGCTAGGGTTTGTTTAGTAGGAAAGGAAACTTCTTAACCAAGCATTAAAGCAGCATTATGTTGGGCACTAAGCAGGTGAACTTGAGCAAGAACTTGAGCGACCCACCACTCTTCAAGTGTCCCTTTTCCATGCTCCTCCTCCCAGCAGCACTGCTGTCATGGACCCAGGGCCAGCTCTGTGCTGGGCTCCCTGCATCCATGATCCCTAATTCTTAACAGTGGCCTGCAAAGTGGATAATTTTATGCCCACTTTACTGTGAGGAAGCAAGTTCAGAGAGGTGACAGCCTGTTCAGGGCCACACGGCCAGTAGGTCTCACCAGGGTTCAGAGAGGTCCCTCTGCCCCAAAGTGGTTTCTACTCTGTTTCTACTCACCACTTGGTTTGAAAAGAGATGGTGAAAAAATGGGGTGTGATGTCATTCCACTGCATTCGGTGGAATTGGCTGTGAAAAAATAGAAATGCTATTTTTTGTCCTTAGGTCAACAGATATTGAGTGTCTTCTCTGTGTGAGAACATGACAGTCCCTCACTTCAGGGACCTTCTCGTGGTTTACAATAATGATCTTCAGACAGCTCATGGGGGCATTTATAGGGACCATCTCTTACCTTGACACTTATCACATGCTCTGGTGGTGACCTCATTCTTAAAGAGGTTTTCTCTTCGGATAGGTGATATTGGTGGAGCTCTCGGTGCAAGGCATCGCATGTTTTGAACCAAGATGGCCACTGGGAGGGTTCAGTGAAGAGATTTTTTTAGGAGGTATTATTAACAGGCTTTGATGCCAGTTGAATCAGGAAGGGATAGAAAACTAGAATGACTTTTTCTCTCATTCAGGCAATTGAGTGGCACTGCTCAGATAAGAAAGAGAGGAGAGGGCCAGGTTTGAGAATGGGGGAATGCCCAAAGACACCTAGATGGAGAAGGCCAGTAGACATCGGGATGAACGCGTGCACCTGGAGCTCAGCTCAGAGGCAGCTGTTGACATCAAAGTCATCGGTGAAGTTGCCTGGGAAGAGTGTGGAGGACAGAATTCAGGATGGCTGACATTCAGGGGTGAACAGAGGGCTAGTAGCCCACGAAAGAAGTCAAGAAGGACCGACCAGAGAAGTACAAAACAACCAGGAGAGAAGAAATCTGTCTCCAGAAGGAGGGAGTGATCAAGATGGCCAGTGGATTTGGATCTGGAAATTAGGAGATGGTTGGTGAGAAGAGCTTGGGTGGGGTGGGAGGAGCTGAGCCTGGTTCCTCTGGGTTGGAGAGTGGACTCTGCAGTTTAGAACACTCACAGTGTGGGAGCCAAACAGCTAACAGGACACATGAACAGATTCCGCGGCGCACAATGGCCTCGGGGGCTGGAATCTTTTTATACAATTTTGCCTGAGACCTTAGCACTAAGATTAAGCATACGTCACCGATGGGATGGCAGCTTTTTATATTTGCTACAAGAAGCACCCTCAATATTTGATGGAGAGGTTTATAAGCAGTTCTCCCACCACCCCCACCAAATATAAGTTTTGAAGTCTATCAGCAAATCAGTGCAAGTAATTTTTGTACTTAGGAGAGAACAATGTTTATAAGAAACAACAAGATGAATAGCACAGCCACTTGAAGACTGCAGCAACCTTGAAATGGTATTCCAAAGAAAGTGGTTATTCTTATTGAAATCAATTCAGTCATCAAACTTGTTTTCCGGAAAACCATGACACAGAATACTATTTATGGAGGATCCAAGTTGGCTGTACCGCGGAAGGAATATCAGATTCAAAAAAGATTGAGGAAGGTAGGAAACCTGTAGGTGAAAACTGATAGGAAACATATAAAATATATAATAACAATCTGGTGTTTGGCTCTTTGCCCATTTCTTGTAACAGCCAAAAATAAGACATTTCTGTGTATAAGCAGCAAGATGACAATACAGGTTATTTTATTCAGCATGTGGGATGCCTCAAAAGAGCAAACAGGCCCTTTGGACGCCAGCTTTTTGTGAGAGGATATGTCCAGAAGAGCCCTCTTGCTGTGTGGCTTGTACTTTTTTCCTTCATGTATCAGCCCACTTGCAGACAGCATGAATTGTTTTGTAAACTTACAGGATGCCACTGTAAGAAAAGACGGGCCTAGGTGCAGTAGCTCACGTCTGTAATCCCAGCACTTTGGGAGGCTGAGGCGGGTGTATCACCTGTGGTCAAGAATTTGAGACCAGCCTGGCCAACATGGTGAAACCTCAGCTCTACTAAAAATACAAAAATTAGCTGGGTGTGGTGGCACACACCTGCAATCCCAGCTACTTGGGAGCCTGAGGCAAGAGAATCACTTGAACCCGGGAGGCAGAGGTTGCAGTGAGCTGAGATCATGCCAATGCACTCCAGCCTGGGCAACAAGAGTGAAACTCCATCTCAAAAAAAAAAAAAAAAAAAAAAAAAAAGATGGAGTGGGTACAGAAAAATAGAATGAATGAATAAGGCCGAGAATTCTATAGCACAACAGGGTGACTATAGTCAATAATAATTTAATTGTACATTTGAAACTAACTAAAAGAGTATCATTGGATTGTTGATTTATCCTTTGTCATCCACAAAGGATAAATGCTTGAAGGGATGGATACCCCATCTTCCATCACGTGATTATTGCGCATTGCTTGCCTGTGTCAAAACATCCCATGTACCCCATAAATATATATACACCTACTATATGTACCCACAAAAATTAAATATAAAAAATTGGGTCGGGCATGGTGGCTCATGCCTATAATCTCAAAACTTTGGGAGGCTGAGGCAAGCGGATCACCTGAGATCAGGAGTTCAAGACCAGCCTAGCCAACATGGTGAAACCCCATCTCTACTAAAAATATGAAATTAGCCAAGTGTGGTGGCGGGCACCTGTAGTCCCAGCTACTCGGGAGGCTGAAGCAGGAGAATTGCTTGAACCGGGGAGGTGGAGGTTGCAGTGAGCCGAGATCTATAGAGGGAGTTATTTTCATTCTGGGCTCGTTTTCTAACTTTTTTCTAAGGAACAATGGAAAGAAAGCAGTGGAAGGTAGCCACTGTTTGTCAGATTTCTCCAGCGCCTGCTATCATGCTAAGCTTGCAGCCTCTCTGGGTGGTGTTGATTTTGGAACCGCTGTGCATTGCCCTCTCCGTGGAGGTGGCAGTCATGTTTCTGACAGCAAACATGGAGAAAAAGAGAAACAAATCAAGGGAAGAGGGAGGAAACCCAGCCTGCATTTCAGGTCGCCTTTTTCTTGTTTTGACTTGGCTGTAACTCCAGAGAGTTGACAGACCCTCTAAATTGGCACTAAGCCCCAGCAGTTCTCCTTTCTTGTCTGTTAAAAATACCTCCTAAATTAGACAGGAATCGCAGGGGTCCTCACTTGTTTTGACTGGTGTGTGACCCTGTGATTGTAAAATGTTCTTCACAGGAACATCGTCTTGAGCAATCCCAAGAAGAGGAACGCGTTGTCACTTGCAATGCTGAAGTCTCTCCAAAGTGACATTCTTCATGACGCTGACAGCAACGATCTGAAAGTCATTATCATCTCGGGTATGTATCTGATATCTGTCCTTAGTATTCTGCAGTGCCCACAAGAGCTTTCTGAGTCTTTAGTAAACTGGGGCATCCCTTTATTTAACTGGAGAATTGTTTTGAAGCTCCTTTACAAGAACATTAATTATGGAAAACACCTGTGTAGTTGGTGGTTTGGTCCTAACGCTATTAACTGCAGAATTTATAACAAAGATGACTGTTCAGTGAAACTATGTCTTTTCCTTTTTGTCAGATACTAAAACATTTCTGTACTTGGCTATACTGGTCTTCCCCTCAAAATCAGAGAACTGATTTCTTCATGGACCTTATAAAATGGGTTTAACCACTAATCCTTTGGCGCATTTGATTGGTCTGACTTTTCTTTTCTTACCAAGCTTTCGAACTGATATCTGCAGTGCCTTTAATGGTGCTGGAAAAGATGCCATATTCTGCTAATTTGTTTGCTTGCTCCAAAAGGAATTTTTACAGAATTATTTTTTCTTGTGATGATGGGACTGGTATAAATAATAGTAATATTAGCATTTTAAAGCATACACAAAAAAATATGATGATGATGCTTTGTGATGCTATGTTTGTTTGGCAAATCAAGCATCAGTGTTTCTGGAGGCAGAAACTCAGAATGTTACCATCTTATCCATGGTTAATCAAAAGTGTTCAACTGTTTTATATGGTGAAGAGAAAAGAAATTAGAACTAGTACAGTCCAGCAGCCATGTGGGATGTTACCTGGATACAGCAAAGGCAGTTAACGTCTTCTTTTTTTTTTTTTATTTGATACATAGTCTTGCCCTGTTGCCCAGGCTGGAGTGCAGTGGCATGATTATAGCTCATTGCAGCCTCAAACTTCTGGGCTCAAGTGATCTCCCACCTCAGTCTCCTGAGTAGCTGGGACTATAGGTGTGTGCCACTACACTCAGCTAATTTTTTATTTTTTGTGGAGATGGTGTCTTGCTATGTTGCCCAGGCTGGTCTCGAACTCCTAGCCTCAAGCAACATTGCCACCACTGTGCCTGGCTAATTTTTAAGGTTTTATTTTGCAGAGACAGGGGTCTCACTATAGCTTCTTAACTACATAATTACCTCACTTACAAAAAGACAATAATATTGCCTATCAATCAAGATAACTACAACAGCCAGGCATGGTTGCTCATGTCTGTAATCCCAATACTTTGGGAGGCCAAGGCGGGCAGATCACTTGAGGCCAAGAGTTCGAGACCAGCCTGGCCAACGTGGCAAAACCCCATCTCTACCAAAAATACAAAAATTAGCTGGGCGTGGGGGCAGGCACCTGTAATCCCAGCTACTTAGGAGGCTAAGGCACAAGAATTGCTTGAACCTGGGAGGCAGAGGTTGCAGTGAGCCGAGATCGTGCCACTGCACTCCAGCCTGGGCAACAGAGCAAGACTCTGTCTCAAACAACAACAACAGCAACAAAAGGGAAGTATGAGAAAATGTTATCAGCTCATCAGTAGGATGACATTTTCTTGTTGATGACAGCAGTGATAGCAGCCACATCTTATGATCCCTCATCTGTAAAATGAAGACCAGAAGGCTTCCGAGGTCTCTTCCTACCCTCACCTTCCCACTTCAGCCATGACGGCTGGCCACTACTTGTAGATGAAATGACATGGACACTGCCTTCGGCATGGGGGATTTTGATGAGCTTGTGTGACTCAATACACTCAGGCCAGAGCGAGTCCCCAAATAAAGGCTCTGTATAAAATACCTTCGCCTTGGTAACTGAATCTTCTCCTTATGTAATTGTGTATTTCTATCATTTTCCATGAAGAAATTTTAGGACACGGAGGCACCTAAAAAATGCCTCGCCTTGCATTTTTCATCACAAAATTCTGGCTGGAACTTTTCAAGCAAACTGGAATTATTCTTCTCAAAATTAGGCCATTAACTTGCTCTAAGTGAAAGTTTGCTGAAGTTATTCAGTAGACAAGGAAGGGAACTAACTGCCCAACTCTGGGTGTTTACATCTTTTTGTTTTCTTTTCTCAATTGGAAACATTTGCAGCTGAGGGGCCTGTGTTTTCTTCTGGGCATGACTTAAAGGAGCTGACAGAGGAGCAAGGCCGTGATTACCATGCCGAAGTATTTCAGACCTGTTCCAAGGTAAGCCAAGACGACAGTCGACAGTGCAAACCTGCAAATGATCATTACATTAAATGTTGAGTTCGCCTTCGACCTTACAGATAAGATTTTATCCATGAGACCCAAACACCCAGAGCAACTGGAAACTGTTTGGTCATCAGATCCTTTATCCCAGCAATCCAGCAATTATTTGGTTTAGACCTTTTTTTTTTTTTTTTTTTTTTTTTTTTTTTTTTTTTTTTGAGACAGAGTCTCCCTCTGTCGCCCAGGCTGGAGTGCAGTGGTGCAATCTTGGCTCACTGCAACCTCCGCCTCCCAAGTTCAAGCGATTCTCCTGCCTCAGCCTCTTGAGTAGCTGGGATTACAGGCATGCACCACCACATCTGGCTAATTTTTGTATTTTTAGTAGAGACGGGGTTTCACCATGTTGGCCAGGCTGGTCTCAAACTCCTGACCTCAGATGATCCTCCTCCCTCGACCTTCCAAAGTGCTGGGATTACAGGCATGAGCCACCGTGCACAGCCTAGTTTAGACTTTTAAGAAGTGACCATAATTTGCTATTGATTTTGTTTTATACCAAAGAAAGTGGAATATAGGATGGTACTCATAGTTGCCATGTCTAGCATTGTGGGAGTATGTCTTGGTATAGAAGTTTGGAGTAAGAAGGAAAAGGTGAAAATGTGCGTCTTTAGGGAAGAAGAATCTCAGATTATAATAATTTTAAAAGATTTTAAACTAAAACAACTCTATTAAATGGGAAAGAACATTAATAAATGGAATAACAATAATGGTTTTTAAAATTATTTTTGAATGCTTCTTTCAACCAGCCTTTATAATCACCACCTCCAAGTAGGAAAATTAACCTCTTCGTTGTTGCTTCTTTTCTGCCTCTTTCACCATATTAAGGAGGAAAAATACCGACAGCCACAGAGGAAGAAGAGGCACAAAAGTTTTGGATGATTTATAAAGGCATGAAATCAACCCCTTGGGTAATGAAAAATTGAATAGTGAATCCAGCTTTAAGTAATACATTGTTCATCTAATGACCATTTATTGAGCACCTATTATAGTACCTGCAAGACATTGAGGGAAACATAAGAAAAAATTGTTTTCTGCCAAACTGAAACTGAAAATCTATTTGGGAAACAACACATATAAAATGGTTTCATAACCTGCCTCTAAGATAGTTTAACCTAATTTTTTATTCATTCATTGACTTATTCATTCATGTATTTGGTCATTAATGATTTCACAGATGTTTAATGATACAAGACAGAAGTGAGCAACAGGGATGTGAATGGGAAGATGATTAAGACATCCCCATTTGTTTTCCTTGCCCTTCCAGAAACCCATAAAGAGATCAGGTTATATTTTTGTCACTACATGGAAGGATAAACAGGAACAGCAATTTACTCGAAGCTTCATGGGGAAGTGGGAGCAAGTTAGAGCCGAGACCTGGGTCTTTCGTTTCCTACATTAATGATGTTTATGTAACATTCCACTCTTGGGTTTGCCAAGCCTTGGTGCTTTAAAAGTTTTTTTCTACCAATACCCAGTATGTTTGGCTAAAGTTGAAAAGCATCAAAGAGAACCAGTAAAGCCCTTTTATCCTCCCTAAGGGTCTGCTTTTATCACTCTGCTCTGGTAACTTCATGAACTGGGATCTAAACAGCATAGCCATGGGCCACAGGGGAGCAGGCCTTCTTCAGAGGATAAAGCCCAGATTTCTTGGAAGCCCCTAACCCTTGGAGGCCTCTGACTCCCTGAAAAAGACTCAGTGCATAAACAGGGCCTACCCCAAAGTAGTAAAATAGGACTGAAAGTGTATTGATATCTTTAAACCATTTCTAAGAAAATAACATTGTCTTGGATAAATATGAGTGCCATGAACTTGTGCAAGATTTCCATTTCCAAGTGAAATCAACAGCAGATTGGAACAGAATGAGCTAGATATTTCATTGTTCAGTTCATGCATGAGAAAATTTGATTTTAGAAAGGAGGATAGAGGTATCTGAATTAGCTAAGCATCTAAAAACTATACCAATTGGTTACAGATGACAAGTACTGCATGATAGTTAATTATATACAAACCAGGAGTAGGGCAAATTAAGGATGAGTAGAATGAGAATGAGAAGAACTTGGCTCTGGAAGAGTGAAAATGACCTGCCATGGCGCTCAGGTTAGAGACTTCTTCCTTGTCTCTCTACTTACATCCTGTTGAAGTTTGGAGACGGAAACTCTAGTTTAGGAGAAGATTCTGCACTTTGCTCTCATACCCCGTCAATCAAATGACAATGGGACAAGATTTCTTGCTTTGGGGAGATAACATGAAACCCTTAGCGATGCTGTTAAAGGAGGTTAGGGCAGAGTTCTATTTATGTCACATTTTGGAGTCAGCAGACCCAAAACAGTACCTAATTCAGGAAGGTCAAATAGGTATAATCAGTTCTTGACTATCAAGTGTTTGATTATTCTAGCTTGTTGATTATTTAAATTCCCTTTGTCTTTTTTGAACTTCTCTCTAACTTTATATTTTAAATAGTCTTTTTTTTTTTCTTAAGACAGGGTCTCACTCTGTCGCCCAGGCTGGATTACAGTGGCATGATCTCGGCTCACTGCAACCTCTGCCTCCCGGGTTCAAGCAATTCTCCTGCCTCAGCCTCCTGAGTAGCTGGGACTACAGGTATGCACCACCATGCCCGGTTAATTTTTTTTTTTTTTTTTTTTTAGTAGAAATGGGGTTGCACCATGTTGGCCAGGCTGGTCTCAAACTCCTGACCTCAAATGATCCGCCCACCTTGACCTCCCAAAGTGCTGGGATTACAGGTGTGAGCCACAGCACCCGGCCTAAAATAGTCTTAATCATGAAAGTAATGAGTACTTGTAAACAGTTTTGAAAGTCTAGAACAGTAAAAGATTACCGATGTCATACCATAATCATACCACCCAGAGAGAACCATGATTAATATTTTGCTGTATTTCCTTTTAGATCATTTTTCCATGTGAACCTGTTTTTCTAAATAATCATATATAGATGAGATTACAGTATAGAATTACGTAATATGATTATAGCATTGATTGCTTACTATATGCCAGATAATATTTTAAGTACTTTAGATATGTTAATTTATATAACTGTCGTGTTCTATAAGGTTGGTGCTATTATCATGTCCATTTTACAGATGTGAAAATTGAGGGGTTAAATGACTTGTCCAGGATTAGGCAGAGTAAGTGACAGACTGGGCGTCAAACCCTGGCAGCCTGGTTCCAGACCACTGCATAAGCTCCAGACTGCCATGCTGGTGTTTCTCTTGGAAATTTTCATTTCAGTGAGAATACAGCATCCTAGTCGATGTAGTTTAGTTTCCACTGCCATTTATTTATTTTGTATATTTATATTATTTATAGTTTGTTACTATTACAAAATAATGATTTGGTGAGCATCTTTGGCATAGAGCTTTTTACCTATTTCACATTATTTCTTAGAAGTAGAATTCCTAGATCAAAGGTGAATGTATGCATTTTTAGGCCGGTCACAGTGGCTCACATCTGTAATCCCAGCGCTTTGGGAGGCCGAGGTGAGTGGATCAGTTGAGGTGAGGAGTTTGAGACCAACCTGGCCAACATGGTGAAACTCTGTCTCTACTAAAAATACAAAAAAGTTAGCCGGGTATGGTGGTGTACACTTGTAATCCCAGGTACTCGGGAGGCTGAGGCAGGAGAGTCACTTGAACCCGGGAGGCGGAGGTTGCAGTGAGCCAAGATTGTGCCACCGCACTCCAGCTTGGGTGACAGAGCAAGTCTGTTTCAAAAAAAAAATTAATAATTATATGCTTTTTTAATGTTGAATATATACATATTACCTATTTTTCTGCCAAGTTTTATGAAATCCTAGCCATTCACAGATGATGGACAGGACAGGTAGACTGTTCAACTCTAATCCCAGTCAATTGGCTTTTCATTAGTAACTTCAGTTCCTTGGGTGGTGCAACAACACTCAGAACGAAAACAAAATCTTTTCTTTCTTTGCAGCAAGACTTTAGAAGTTCTTGGGATTTCTTCCCCTTGTTATTCATTCCAGTTCACTGGTAATGAGCACTCTCACTAGCCCATCCCCAGTCTCGCCTTACAGTGCATGAACCCCCTAAATCCGTGAATAGTGTTGTGTACAGGTGTTTACTTATCTGTGCATTCTTCTTCTTTTTATTTTTATTTTTATTTGAGACAGAGTCTCACTGTGTCACCCAGGCTAGAGTGCAATGGCGCGATCTCAGCTCACCACAACCTCCACTTCCCAAGTTCAAGCAATTCCCCTGCCTCAGCCTCCCAAGTAGGCTGGGATTACAGGCACGTGCCACCACACCCAGCTAATTTTTGTACTTTTTTTTTAGTAGAGACAGGGTTTCATGATTTTGACCAGGCTGGTCTCAAACTCTTGACCTCAGATGATCCACCCACCTGTGTTCTTCTGAGGAGGATGTATTTCCTCATTTATCCTAGGGAAGAGAAATGTCATTAGCGTTTATCAGGTTCTCAAAAGGAGACCTCCCCCAAAAAAAGTCAAAAAGCACTACTATAGGATATGATACCATAGCCTTAAATATATAATTGGTTATTTTAGAAGAAAGCTAACAAATATCAAACGTTTATGGATATAAAAGATAAGCTTCTTAGACAAAATCTTCAAATCAATGAAGGTCATTTGTCTTTGAATACCTGCCTTGGGGTATTCCCATCCTCTCTCCCTGCCAAGGTTCAAAGAGCAGCACTTTAGAAATTGAAGTTACCATAGCAACACACTCTGTGGCATGAAAACATAAGCTGCAAAAATAAGTTAAAGTTCTGGAAATGTATTGGTTGGAGGGGTCACATTAGCATATTTTTGTCTCTCCTCTCTGTGCCAATGGCTCTATTTTAGGAATTTTGTTTACTTTGATGACAGCAGAGTCCCCCCACCCCCATTTTAATAGAATTGGGAGCATCTTCATGGTGGTAATTGGAGAAGTAATTATTAAGAAAACTGCCTTCAAGGCCCTTTTCCACCTCAATTTTTCAAGGAAGCACCAAATACCAGCTTCAGACCTTTAACCCAAGAGCTTCACACAAGCACAGTGAGGACAGAACTGTCTGTGAAGGGTTTGATTTGTTCCCCAGAGAGAAAAATCCACACTCTTCTTCAGCACATTTGCCAGGAAGGCAGGCGGGGGTCTGTCACTACTCAAGAGCTGAGCTTGGGGCCACCCCCTGCGGCAGCCCCCACCAAGCTTAGTGTCCTTGTTGTACAATAGGGCTCTGTCCCCATGGGGCTCTCAGAAAGACCAAATTACAGTGCCTGGTTCAGAGTAGATATTTAATAGGAGTTAGTGCTTTCTGTGCCTTTTTTCACCCTTCTTCCATAGAATCGGATAAACTCACGCTTATGAAAAGTGCTCTGGAAACAGGAAAGTCATATAAAATGAGAGACGTTGGCTGGGCGTGGTGGCTCACGCCTGTAATCTGAGCACTTTGGGAGGCCAAGGTGGGTGGATCATTTGAGGTCAGGAATTCCAGGCCAGCCTGGCCAGCATGGTAAAACCCCATCTTTACTAAAAATACCAAAAAAAATTTAGCTGGGCGTGGTAGCCCATGCCTGTAGTCCCAGCTACTCAGGAGGCTGAGGCAGGAGGATGGCTTGAACTCGGGAGGAAGAGGTTGCAGTGAGCCAGGATCTTGCCACTGCACTCCATCCTGGGCAACAGAGTGAGACTCTGTCAAAAAAAAAAAAAAAAAAAAGCAATAGGCGTTAATGTCGTGCCTCCCTCTGGGTGGAAATGAAGTAGGTGTGTTTGTCCCGCAGGTCATGATGCACATCCGGAACCACCCCGTTCCCGTCATTGCCATGGTCAATGGCCTGGCCGCGGCTGCCGGCTGTCAACTGGTTGCCAGCTGCGACATTGCCGTGGCGAGCGACAAGTCCTCTTTTGCCACTCCTGGGGTGAACGTCGGGCTCTTCTGTTCTACCCCTGGGGTTGCCTTGGCAAGAGCAGTGCCTAGAAAGGTAATTTAACTCCCCCCACCCACCTCTGCCTCCCAGCCTTCTCCGGAGTTCCTCCTCCAGTGCATGCGATGATTCAAGATCCGCTTGTTAAAAGTGCCTTTCATATCAGGACGTTCTGCCCAGAGTGCCTCTGGCTAGATGGGCCAGGATGTTCCCTCTAATGGCAGGGAGGGAAGAGCCGACCGCCTGCCTGTTCCTCTGTAGCTTCTGACGCCAGGCGTCAATTTGTGAAATCACTGCATTTCCATCATGCGTACCCTCAGTACCACTGGGTAGGTTTGCCGATTAGTTTTGTTTGTCTTCCTAATGGCCCATATTTTGTAATCTTATTTGAAATGCAATTGAGACTCAGTTTTGTTGCACTGAATGGTTGCCCATGAGATAGAATAGCGTACTGACATAATGCCAGTATCAAGAGCCTAGGATAGTAGTGTCGCTGGCTCACTCTTCATCAACAGTCTGTCTTGTTCCAGAACGGATTTAGAATAGGTGATTTCTGGAGTGTGTTGGGTTTACAACGGTTGCATTTCAGGAACATGAATCTCCTGTGCGTGGTATGTTGAATCTGCCCAAGAAGGAGCCGTGTTGCAAAGTGGTTTTGTTAACTACAGTGAAGTCTGTTTCCGCCACAAAGCTTTCTTCCTTCCTATAACATCATAAAATAATATTTCCTAAACTTCCCTCAAGTGTAAACCAACAGTGTTCTTGTTGCGGAAAAAGTGCATCCTTGTTCTTAATTGGAAATCTATAAAAAAGGGGGCAGAATCTTAGACCACACCAAGCAAAGAAGCTAAATTGCTTTCTAATGTATATGATCTGCTTTAGCATCAGCTGTGAAAATCAGCAATTGCTCACATGCCTAAGACGCAAAAGAAATAAGATCCAAGGGAAATCCAGTAGTAGGACCAAGAAGTTTAGGGAAGTATTCCTTTCTTTTGCAGTGCCCCTTTGTTAGTTTTTGCAGAAATGTGTGTTTGTGGGGAAATTCTGAAGACAGATACCTGCGAACACACACACTTAGGACAGTGGGCTGGAAGTGGGCTTCACACTACAGTAGGTGCCGGCTGGCTAAAGTGTCTTCAGACTAAGAGGATGTTTTCGATTCTGTCAAGATAGACACTTACCTTAAACTCATTCAGTAATTTTTTTTTTTTTTTTGAAACAGAGTCTCGCTCTGTCACCCAGGCTGGAGTACAGTGGCGCTATCTCAGCTCACTGCAATGTTCAAGGGATTCTCCTGCCTCAGCCTCCATAGTAACTGGGATTACAGGCACGTGCCACCATACCCGGCTAATTTTGTATTTTTCGTAGAGATGGGGTTTCACCCTGTTGGCCAGGCTGGCCTCAAACTCCTGACCTCAAGTAGTCCGTCCCCCTCGGCCTCCCAAAATGCTGGGATTACAGGCGTGAGCCGCCGCACCTGGCCCATTCAGTAAATATTTCTTAAGACTCTACTTTGTGTATAACAAATTGATTGTCAGAGCTTATTCATAAACTATCTTATAATGGTGCAAATCAACTTACAAGGCCTTTGTCTAATAAAAGACAGCTGTGCTGACAGCTGCTTGTCCTCTTCAACACCTGATGCGCTGGAAGGTTCCACAGTAAAGCACTTGAAACCTTGAAGTCAGCCCTACTGTCTGGATAAGAACCCATTCTCTCTTAAACTTTTGAAATCAAGGCTTATTAAATTTGATTCCTAGAAACTTAACGCTAGACCATATTTATCAAGTTTTAAATTGATAAAATTTAAAGTTTTTGAGAAGAAAAGGGGGAAAATATGACAAAAACAGGCCTTAAGTTCCAAGGAAGCCCAGTCTTCAGAAACCCCATTTCATAATCACCCAGTTGGATGAACCAAAGTAGCTTTTACCTCCCAAGGACAGAGCTTCTCAGAAAATGGGGCAAAAAATCTCCAGACAGCCCTACTCAGGTTCCTGGTCTCTGTTCTCATGTTCTGACCCCCAGAAGGCCTCTAAATCACTCAACTGGAGACTCGCCAGTTTTTTCTAATCAGCTGCCTGAAAGCGGTTCAGAGTTCTGTCAACAAGCCCTTGCACGCTGGGCTTATTAATGCTGGGCCACTCAGAGCCATGACTCAGGAACATGGCTTGGGGTCAACACTGAAAAGCAGAAATCACAGTACTGATAATGGGAATTTTGCAGGAAGAAACAGGCTTTTGGAACTTAATGCCTTTGTTAGGTTTCTGGATTTGCAGATCTAATTGTGTGGGCCTGCTTTAGGAGGAAAAGCTGGGATTCATAACAATCTAATAAACCTGACCCAAACCACCTGCCCGTTGTCTTTGCTGATTGTGCGCATGTGAACCCATCCACGGACATCCATGCACAGGCCCACCGAGTATTTTGGGGGGTGGGTGCGTGTCCCTCATACACCCACAGGGAAGCTAGCAGGTACTTTGCAAACTGGCCTGGGCAGGAAGTTGGGCCTGTCTCACACTGGATAAGACAACATGTATGGGTCACTAGTGCCCTCTCCTGGCCGCCGCAGGGACCTGCTTGGCTGTGCTGGAGACTGGGGCAGAAACTATGCAATCAAGCCTGTCTGTTCAAATCAGACCAAGCCTGGACATGAATAATATTCCCCATTTGTAAAGAGCTTCTCTCCTTGGGCATGATCTAAATAATGCATCTTTCTGGCACCCTATAAAACACCCTGCCTGGCGCAGCTGCTCCGTTCCCAGGCAGAGCTGGCCTTGCTCAGACCCTGAGCCAGTGCCTCAAGCAGCCGGCCTCACTGGAGAGCACGTGGGAAATGAGAAGCCCTTCCTCCCAGAACAGTCATTTTCTTGAGGCAGGCAGACTCTGATTTCCTAATCAGCTAATGAGAACAGAGTGGGGTTTCCAAGCTGGAAAGATGGTTAAAGCCCGCTGCTCAAACTGGTGCAGATGTTAGAGAGCCTGGGAGAAAGGCTGGGTCTCCAGCCTGCCCCAGACAGGCTGCGTTTTAGCAGTGATTTGTGTGGCCAGAGGTTGGGAGTGAAGTTTTAGAGGACGCACAGTTCCACACCCAGTTTGCAAGAGGGTCTGGGAGTTTCAGGGCCTCGTGTCCTGTGTCCGGCCAGTGAGATGGGACCCATGACCCTCACTCCAGTGTGCTTCCCTCAGAGCCTGGCCATGTGGCAGCCCCAGGGACAGACCCTGCTGGTGCCATGGTGCCAGTGCGAATGCATGTGTGTGTGTGCACAAGTATCCCATGGGTTCTGTTCAGGCCTGACTCTTTCCGTAGTGCTCCTTCTGCAGCTCCTCACCCTGCTGCTGGTGCTCCCTGGGAGACAGATGCTATGTGCTGTGGTCTCAATGCTGTGTCCTCCCCAAATTCCTGTGTTGAATCCTCACTCCCAAGGTGATGGTGTTGGAAGGTGGGGCCTTTGGGGGTGATGAGATCATGAGTATGGAGCCCTTGTGAATGAGATCAGTGACTTTATGAAAACAGCCCCAGGCTGGGCGTGGTTGTCTCATGCCTGTAATCCCAGCACCGTGGGAGGCCAAGGCGGGTGGATCACCTGAGATCAGGAGTTCGAGACCAACCTGGCCAACATGGCGAAACCTCGTCTCTACTAAAAATACAAAAATTAGCTGAGTATGGTGGCGCATGCCTGTAATCCCAGCTACTCGGGAGGCTGAGGCAGGAGAATCACTTGAACCCTGGAGGCGGAGGTTGCAGTGAGCCGAGGTCGTGCCATTGCTCTCCAGCCTGGGCAACAACAGCAAAACTCCATCTCTTAAAAAAAAAAAAAACAAAAAAAAAAAACACGCAGTCCCAGAGAGCTGCCTTACCCCCTTTTTCTCCATGTGAGGACACAGCTAGAAGGCCCCGTTTACGAACCAGGAGGCAGGTCCTCACCAGTCGCTGAGTGCCGGCACCCTCACCTTGAACTCTCCAGCCTCCAGAACTTGTGAGATATAAATGTCTGTTGTTTATAAGCCACCAGGCTGTGGTGCTGTGTTCCAGCAGGCTGAATGGACTAAGACACCACACCCATGCAAAGGGGCATGACGTGGGGAGAGTCCCTTGTGGGCTGTAGCACACGGTTCTTGCCATTTGGGTGGCCTATGAGATCCAGAAGACCCCTCTGCTTTAAATAATCACCCCCGTTCCAAGGCTGGGGTAACCATTTAAAAGCCAGCATTAGAGATCATGGACCATCTGCAGTTGGCCTAGTTGTGTTAAAAAATAGGTGTTGCATTCACTGGGTGCCTACTGAGTGCCCAGGACTGTTATTATACGAGCCTTGCACCTGCTATCTCTAATCCTTGCAATACTGCAGGAGGTGCTCATTTTTGTTTTCCAGATGAAACAAACTCCAAGGCGTTAGTTGAAGGTCTTGTGGTTAGTAAGTGGCAGAGCTGGGGTTGGAACTCAGGTACATCTGGCTCAGCCAGGTCCCTTGAGCTCAAACCAGGTCCCTGAGCTTTTCTTCTGCAAGCAAAATCTTCATAGTGACCTCCCTGATTTATGTCTGGCTCAGATGGACAATTTTTCCCCCAGCCTTTCCATTGTACTTGATGTGACAGTGTGCCCTGCTGTCATTAGTTAGTGGCTTCTTCACTGTGTCCCTTGGTGATGGTCATTTGTACCCGAGCGTGCTGGCTGCGGAAGTGAGAGGTGAGAAATGGCTTGCTCAGAGGTCCCAGGAGGACCAGTGCCCAGCAGGCTTGGGACCAGGCCCCGCCTGTGAAGCTTGGACTCCAAAGGACTCAACCCCAAAACATCTGGGGCATTTGGAATTCCGTGCAGTTCTGCAGCTACACACTGCCGGCCCAGGCTGCAAGCCCCCCACCTGGGATGAATACTTGCCCATCTGCTGAGCCGGCCAGGAAGGAACACTTACTACTTTGGATTTACTCTTTCCTCCTTCCAGCTCTGACTCCATTCTTAACGACTCTGAGAGTCATCTAGGACTTGATCATTGCAAGTGACAAAGGGATCGATAAGGTTGACTTGGGTGGCTTTCGTTGTTTTTTCTTGTTGCATCAGTTTTTCAGGCTTGGCCACTTTCTGACATTTGGTCCCTCTGAGTTCCCCAAGAGCCGCCTGTGTCAGTGGAGGGTAAGTGGCTGGGAGGAGCTGTGACACGGTCTCCACCTTGGCTTCTGATCCCAGCTGACACGCAGTTCAGGGGCAGAGATGGAGCAGAGCACTGTCCTGGCCCCGTGCTGTGACCTGCTAGGTGTCTTCAGCAGGGTCCTATTTCACAGCTGTTCACAACAGGATCCGCTTTTTAGCTCCTGGTTCAACCAGGGCTTCAGACACGCTTTGGCATGAAGTGCTCTTCCTGGTCAACTAAAAATGGTCTGCCCTGGAACCCCCATAGCTGTCACGTTCCTGCTTCCTCCAACGTAAAATCGGTACAGTTCCAAAACAGAGGTGGTGATTTAGTCCATGCCTTTAACTTTACAGAGGAGAAAAGGAGGCCCTGCATCACCCGTCCCTGGCTGCCAGCCCAGTGCATGTGGGCTCCATCTCCACCCATGGTGGCAGGAGGGGCCTTGGGCCAGGCTTCTGGTCTCTCTATCCAAGTTCAATTCTGGGGGATCCAATCTAGTCCTGTGGCTTAAAAACCTTCTAGATCCGTGGTTCTAAACTGGGAGCAGTATTGGCCCAGGGATATGTGGCGATACCTGGAGACATTCTTGATTGTCACAGCTTGGTGGGGGGTAGGTACTACTGATAACTAGAGAGTGGAGGTCAAGGATGCTGCAGAACATCCTGCAATGCACAGGACAGCCCCCACCCTCCCTGCAAAAGTTATCCAAACGTCAGTATCACCAGGGTTGAAAAACCCCACTCTACATGCTGATGCCTCCCCTGTGTGTGTCTCCGGCTAGTCCAGCTGTCACCAGGCAACAGGCCACCCACAGTATAGTAGCTCAAGACAACAGAATTTGCAATTTGGACAGGGCTTAGCGAGGAAGGCTTCTCTCTGCTCCAGAAGGTTGGCAGCCTCAGCTGGGGATTCATCTGAAGGCTGCTTGCTCACGTGTCTGGCTGTGAATGCTACCTCTCAGCTGGGCCCCCACAAGGGTAGTTGGCGGCACACTGCACCCGGCCTCTCCGTGTGGCTTGGGCTTCCTCACAGCATGGAGGCCAGGTCCCAAGAGCAAGAGCCAGAGCCAGCTGCAAGCTGTATCACCTCCTTGCCCTTGTCTCAAAGGAACCAACCTGCCACTTGTGCTGTACTCTGTTTTCCTGCCTGCCTGCCTGTCTTCCTCCCTCTCTCCTTCCTTCCCTCATAAATATTTGATAAGTTGCTTGCTATGTGCAGGACAGTCTTCCAGTGCTGGAGATACAGAAATCAACAGAAGACTAAAAAAAATGGCCAGGCATGGTGGCTCACACCTGTAATCCTAGCACTTTAAGAGGCCAAGGCCGTGGGGTCACTTGTGCCCAGGAGTTCAAGACCAGCCTGCGTAATATAGTGAGACCCCATCTTGGAAAAAAAAAAAAAAATCCTGTCCTACTGGAGTTTACATGCTACAAAGGACATACACTATAAACAAACGTGAAATATATAGGGTGTTAAATGGAGAGAAGTGCAAAAGATTTAAAATGTAGCCAGACGGGAGTCGCATCAGGGTTCGTTTTACACTTGGAGCAGGGCGGCCATGGAAGACCTCAGTGATAGGGGATGCAGGACCAGAGGCCTGCAATGAGGGCGTGTGCCAGGATGACACCCAGGGAAAAGTCACCCCAGGCAGAGGGACCAGCGAGTCCGAGGACCCTGAGGTGACGGTGCATGGGCGTATTTGAGGAACATCAGGGATGCCACCAGGATTGTGAGAGCCTGAGTGACGGGTGGGGAAGGGAAGGGCCCCTGCCTGTGTGTCCTTGTGCACCTGGGGACCCCTCTTTTCCATTTTAAGTTTGACTTTAGAGGAGCCAGGCTTGGTAGCGTGCAACAGAATTGGTTGGTGCAGCACGCAGTGGTTGTGAAGCAGAGGACACGGTGAGGAGGGAGGGAGCTGGGCTCCCCCGCTCTTCACCAGCCCTGGAACCTCAGGGGAGGGTAGTAGGAGGGGAGAGGGCATCCTTTCCTTGCCACATCTTACCGATTGGTGAGTTAAAACCATGCTGGGCTCTACGTCTGGTCCCCAAAGACATTGTCTGTAAATCCTTGCCTCTCCGGGAGGCTGGGTCTGCTCTTTCCAGTCAGGCCAAGGTGACAGCCCCGTGACTGCTTATTGTGGGAGGTGGCCCCAGTGGGTTCTGAGAGGTACTGGAACCCCCACTCCCCGCCACCCCACCCCCATACTGCAGTGTCTGTGGGGCATCCCATCTGATGTGGCTGCCGTCCTGTGCTTGGCCCTCAAAAGAGGTAGACGAAATCCCCAGCCGTGGCAGGGCTCAGTGACCAGATCTTTGCAGGAGCAAGAGAACACGGGACAGCCACTGCTCCCCTGGGCCTGGTGTGGTTTCTTCGCTCTTGGAAAGATCCGCTCTCCTCCCGGGCAGGAGTTAGGGCACTGAAGACGTCAGGGCTGGCGGATGACGTGGTATTTGAGGAAGCAGGTCATTGAGCCGAGGCGGGACTCAGGTGGCGGGGGCGGGTCACAGGAGAGCACCTCAGTGACATCCCGTGTCTCCCCGTAGGTGGCCTTGGAGATGCTCTTTACTGGTGAGCCCATTTCTGCCCAGGAGGCCCTGCTCCACGGGCTGCTTAGCAAGGTGGTGCCAGAGGCGGAGCTGCAGGAGGAGACCATGCGGATCGCTAGGAAGATCGCATCGCTGAGCCGTCCGGTGGTGTCCCTGGGCAAAGCCACCTTCTACAAGCAGCTGCCCCAGGACCTGGGGACGGCTTACTACCTCACCTCCCAGGCCATGGTGGACAACCTGGCCCTGCGGGACGGGCAGGAGGGCATCACGGCCTTCCTCCAGAAGAGAAAACCTGTCTGGTCACACGAGCCAGTGTGAGTGGAGGCAGAGGAGTGAGGCCCACGGGCAGCGCCCAGGAGCCCACCTTCCCCTCTGGCCCAGCCACCACTGCCTCTCAGCTTCAACAGGTGACAGGCTGCTTTCGTGACTTGATATTGGTGTCATAGCATTTGGCCTACATTAAAAGCCACAATTTCATGGGGAAAGGACAAAATGGAGAGTGACTGAGGTGCTGACCTCAGTGCAAGGCTGGTGAACCCTGCAGCGGGCCAGCTATGGTGGGAAGCCTGGCATTTGGGGTGCTCCTTGCAACGTCTTAAGCAAGCGACCCCCCGACATAGCAAAAGGTGGCAACCCATGGAGGCAGAAAGAAGGACGCCAGCCTGACCCTTATCTGAAACGTCCTAAGCAGAGTTAATCCTGGCTGCTCAGGAGAGGCGACACATTTCAAATCTCCACGAGATATTCTCCACACAGAAAATCTTCTTGATTCTATAGAGACTTAATCATGCCTATGGCTTTGAATAATCTTATGTGATTTAAATAAATTAAATCTTTATAGAGACTGGTATGTTTTATCTCCCCAGCTACACTGCAAGCTGTCTAAGAAAAGAAAAAAAAATCAATTAACTGTTTTTGTATGCTCACGCTGATGGCATAGAGTAGGTGCCTCCTATTTCTATAACAAATGCCCTTGTTATCCACGTTTTTGTGAAACCCGGACCCCAGGCTCAACCTGAGGATGAAAACACTGGGGAGAGGAGGTGGGGTGCACACATCCTACGCATTAAGAGCACCTCCTCCCGGCTGGGCGCTGGCTCCCGCCTATAATCCCAGCACTCTGGGAGGCCGAGGCAGGTGGATTACCTGAGGTCAGGAGTTCAAGACCAGCCTGACCAACATGGTGAAACCCGTCCCTACTAAAAATACAAAAATTAGCCAGGTGCAGTGGCGTGTGCCTGTAATCCCAGCTACTTGGGAGGCTGAGGCAGGAGAATCGCTTGAACTCAGAGGCGGAGGTTGCAGTGAGCCGAGATGGTGCCACTGCACTCTAGCTCTGGGGCGATAGAGCAAGACTCTGCCTCAATTAAAAAAAAAAAAGGAACACCTCCTCCAGACACACTTCCAAATGATGCTCGGCTTCCAGGAGAGATCACAGACCAGAACCAGGTGCAGTGCATGAGTTTCCCACCTGAGCAAGGGTTTGACTGGGGACCTAAGTCTATGACCTGCTGGCTTCAGGTCAAACGTGGCCCAAGAAATGTCCCAAATCTCTTGTCCTCAAGATTGCCGTAAGGCTGATTGTTTAAAACCAGTTTATTTCACCTGTGAGTAGAACGTGGCCTTTCATGGGATGAGTACCACGCTGGGGATGAAGAGCTGTAAGGCTCTAGCCTGTGGTTATTCAAATGGCCGGGGCAAGGGTCTCATGGTATGGGTGTCCCTGAGTTGTTTTCACAGGTTTCTGTTGAGAAAGACAATTTGTTTCTTTCCTAGATTTTAGAAAACATAGAGTGTGCTCTTGAAAAAAAGGAGTTTGTTATAACTCGTTACGCACAGAAAATTATGAGAGCTGCCACTTCCTGGACAAACACTGTGTGCTGAGCACCCTCTGTACATTCTAATTTCATCCTCATGCCAGCCCAGTGGTGTAGGTACCGCAGCGACCTCCAGCTCATGGGTGAGTAGGTGAGGCCAGCTTTGTCCAAGGTCAAACAGCTGAGATTGTAGAGTGAGGATTGCAGACACCATCTGCCTGATAAAGCCACAGATAATTGTCCCCCTGGCCACACTGCCCCGAAGGGGGCCACTGGGCTGGTGTGAGGTTAACCTGGGGTCAGCAAGCCTGAAGAAATGGCCGTCCTACCCTGTGACAGTTTCCCAAGACAAAGGAATGGCCCCAGCATTGAACCCCTTGCTACCGAACACTGCCAGTGTGCAAGGGAAGGGACACCAGCTTTGCTTATCCACAGAGCACCAGTGGAGTTTTTACTGCCAAGCTCATAAACACCGGGCTGAAGCTTCTAGATGAGGGCGTGATGCACTGGCTGTCGTGGGCAGCTCAAGAATCCTGCAGGTCCGTGGGACCACCTGCTGTCTCTTCCCCTTCAGAGGACCTGCTATGGAAGTCACCACCTTGTGGTTGCCAGCCCACACCATGTAGGGGAGAGTGTGATATCAACTCTCAGGGCCTTGGAGAAAGTAACAAACCCTTCTCAAACACTTGACAAAAGAAAATCAAAAGTTGACTTTCCCATTTCCTTATGAGCGCTATGCCCTCAAACCATGGCCTCCAGTCTGGCTTCCCGGCCCCAAGCTGATGCACACTCAGGGGCTAGCTATACATTTTAATGGCCGCCTGTGCAGAAAGTAATCCAGAAAGAAAATCTGCTCCCCACCCTGCAATGTCATGTAATTTATCCCCAGGCAAATATCAATTCTGGGTTTATTTGTATCTCTGCTTCCTTCCCCCGGGATAGTGAATACAAATTTTCTGATAACCACACATGATAATTGCTTTCGGAAAGCCTGGAAGGTTTATCTTTCCCTCTGTGCTGTTTACTTCTTGGGGTAGCTGAGCTGAGCTCTGCCCAGTAGGTCATACTCCATCAGGTTCAGGGGCCATGCAGTAACATGGGTATCCGTTTCTGTCCGCCCTGGCTGAGAGATCCTTGGAGAGCTGGCTTGACCCTGGAAAACAAAAACAAATGAAGTGAGTGAGAGAACACCAGCTCCCTGACTGATTCTACACCAGTGACTTTAGGTCTGTTACAATGCAAAAGCACATGGTGATTTAGGCTGAAACTGTGCCAGGCAGCCCTAGGAAGTACGTCGTCGTTGTCTTCTTTTTTTTTTTTTTTTTTTTTTTTTGAGATAGGTTCTTGCTCTGTCACCCAATTTGGAGTGCAATGTCATGATCATAGCTCACTGTAACCCCCACCTCCTAGGCTCAAGTGATCCTCCCACTTCAACCTCCCAAGTAGCTGGGACTACAGGTGCATGCCACCATGCCTGGCTAATGTTTTATCTTTAGTAAAGACGAGGTCTCACTATGTTGCCCAGGCTGGTCTCAAACTCCTGAACTCAAGCGATCCTCCTGCCTCAGCCTCCCACGGTGCTGGGATTACAGGTGTGAGCCACTGTACCCACCCTAGAATCAGTTTGTTGATATCCACACAGTAACTTGCTGGGATTTTGATTGGGATTGCGTTGAATCTATAGACCAAGATACCAGCCCAAGGAGGTGAGTCTGTGTCCACATTTTTATGATCAAAAATGTTAGAAAGGTTGAAAAAAAAATAGTACAACTGTCAACCATAGCCACCATCTAGAGTCAATTAACATTTAATATGTTTCCATATTTGCTTTAATCTGCGTGTGTGTGTGTAAATAGTTTTTGGCTAAACTATTCAAACATAAGTTGTTGAGATCTTGATATCTTAGTCCTCGATACTTCAGTATACATCTTCTAAAATATAAGGATGTTCTCTCACACAGCTGTCATACTTCTGTCTCAACTAAGAAAATTTAAAACAGTTCCTTAATATTAATTATCTAGTCCATGTTCAAATTTCTCCAGTTGTTCCTGAAAGAGACTTTATGCTAGATTTTTGAACCAAGATTCAATCAAGGTCCACACATTGCATTTGGTTGTTAGGTACCTTTTAAAAAATGTTTTAGTGTTAAAAAATTCAGAACAGTCCAATTCACTTTTTTAATGACATTGGCTATTTAAAGTGACCAGGCCGGTTGTCTTGTAAATGTACAAGTTTTTGGATTTGCCTATGTGTAACAATAACACTTCACTATTTTCCGTATGTATTTATTTTTAGAAGTAAACCTTGATTAGTTTGTGCCAAATTCGGTAATTCTATTCCCTTTCCCAGTGGCTAGATTAAGAATGACCCATGATATAATTCCAAAAAGATGACTGGGAGGCTTCTTGAAAAAAAGTACTCCCAGCTTGGGCAACACAGCAAAACCTCATTTCTACAAAAACACACACAAAAAATTAGCTGGGTATGGTAGCGCACACCTGTGGTCCCTGCTACCCGGGAGGCTGAGGCAGGAGGATCACTTGAGATGAAGGCTGCAGTGAGCAAAGATTGCACCACTGCACTCCAGCCTGGGCAACAGAGCAACACCCCATCTTGAAAAAAAGCACTCAAGGAAGTTCAATTCATTATTACTGTGTAACCATATTACCACAAACTTAACAGCTTAAAATAACCCGTTTTTTGGTTTTTGGTTTGTTTTTTTGAGACGGAGTCTCGCTCTGTCACCCAGGCTGAAGTGCAATGGCACAATCTTGGCTCACTGCAAGCTCCGCCTCCCGGGTTCAAGCGATTCTCCTGCCTCAGCCTCCTGAGTAGCTGGGACTACAGGCGCGTGCCACCAAGCCTGGCTAATTTTTTGTATTTTTAGTAGAGTCAGGGTTTCACCGTGTTAGCCAGGATGGTCTTGATCTCCTGACCTCATTATCTGCCGGCCTCGGCCTCTCAAAGTGCTGGGATTACAGGCATGAGCCACCGCGCCCGGCCCCACCAGTTTTTTAATCTTACAATTTCTGGGGGTCAGGAGTCCAGGGACAGCTTAGCTGGATCCTCTGCTTCAGGGTCTCAGAAAGATGGAATCCCAGGGTCAGCCAATGCCGCAGTCTCATCCAAGGCTTGACTGGAGAAGGGTTCACTTCCAGTCTCACATGGCAGTTCCTTGCAGGCTGCCAGACTGAGGGCCTCAGTGTCACACTGGCTGCTGAGCAGAAGCCACACTCAGTTCTCTAACATGTGGCTTTCTCCATGTGGCAGCTCACAACATGGAAGCTGCTTCACCAAAGCCAGCAAGGGAGAGAGAGGGTCTCCTAGTGACGTGGCTGTTACAATTGTATGTAACGTGAGCACATGTGTGTAATCACAGAGAGCCCATCACCTTTGCCATATTCCACTGGTGAGAAGCAAGTCACAGGTTCCATATCACAACAAGGGATGATGCCAACAGCTGGGGCTCATGAAGGCCACCCTAGATGCTGTCCTCTGTAGAGTAATGGCTTCTCTCTGGAGTTGTGGCTGCAGACACCTGTACTCAAAAGAAGACAAGGCAGAGGGCAAAAGCCTTCCCAATGAAGGTGGCAGAGTGGAAAGATGGAAAAAAGCCAAGACTTTGATAATGTGACTGAACCACTGTATCTTTGGACTCCTAATTACGTGAAATAATCCTTATGGCATAAGCCATTTTGAAGGGCATTTTCTGTATTTTCAACCTAAAGCATTCTCTATCGTAGACGCTTTTGGTGGAGGTGATAAAATCATAAATAACTAATGAACCCAAGGTAGAATGTCCTCAGATGCAAAGAGGTACACGGTGCTGTCTGAGTCCAGACAAGGAGGAGTTTCCTTCCAGCTGGAGAGCCAGAAGAAACTTCATGAAGGGCATTTTGAAGAATAGGTAAGTCTGGGCCAGGCGCAATGGCTCATGCCTGTAATCCCAGCACTTTGGGAGGCCGAGGTGGGTGGATCACCTGAGGTCAGGAGTTCAAGACCAGCCTGGCCAACATGGTGAAACCCCGTCTCTACTTAAAATACAAAAAATTAGCTGGGCATGGTGGTACGCACCTGTAATCCCAGCTACTTGGGAGGCTGAGGCAGGAGAATCACTTGAACCCAGGAAGCGGGGGTTGCAGTGAGCCGAGATCGCACCATTGCACTCCAGGCTGGCGGACAAGAGCAAGACCTCGTCTCAAAAGAAAAAAAAGAATAGGTAAGTCTGGACCAGGGGAGATGTGAGAGGACATTCCAAGGGGAGAAGGCCGTGAAAGAGGTGAGAAGAGGTTGCTGGAGTGTTCGATACGTGATGGGCAGTGAGAGAAAATTACGCTGGGGCCAGATTTCCAAGGCAAAAGCCAGGGAGTTGAAGCCATCTGCTAGGTAGTAGGGAGCTGCCTGAGATTTTTGATTGACAGTTGTGATCAAAAGAGGGGGAATCCCAATGTTTGAGAGGAGGACTACTTTTCCTCAACCCAACAGACAGGAGGCTTATGGCTTCATCATTTTGCAGTAAAAAGTGTCTGAGGTGAGGAGTTGGAGACCAGCCTAGCCAACATAGTGAAATCCCATCTCTACTAAAAATACAAAAAAGTAGCCGGGCATGGTGGTAGCTGGACTACAGTCCCAGCTACTTGGGAGGCTGAGGCAGAAGAATCGCTTAAACCCAGGAGACAGAGGTTGCAGTGAGCCGAGACTGTGCCACTGTACTCCAGCCTAGGCAACAGAGCGAGACTCCATATCAAATATATATATATATATATCTTAAATATATATATACACATATATCTTAAATATATGTATGTACATATATCTTAAATATATATATATACATATATATATATTTGATAATCTGAATGAAACAGATGCTTTCCTGGGAGAATAAATTCTAATTTTGGTTGGTACAAGAATTAGAAAATATAAATAGACCAATATCACAGAAGAAAAGTGTGTCACAGTGATGCAAAACACATGAGGCCTCGCTTGTCTTAACAGTAAATTCTAGAAAACCTTTATGGAAACAAACAGGCAAGAGCACATGATGAACTAGAATCTCATGTGAAGACAGATGCAAGGTTTGCCTTATGAATGAAAGGATTGTTTATAAAATCGGGTCATGTAATTTACTGCAATATGTTGGTATTCTCTCTGGGTAAGAGAGTGGGGATATGAGTGGAGAAAAGGGTTTTCACTATTATCATTTGGGTGATAGGATTACTCTGGGTGAAGGAATTACTGGTGCTTTTTTTTTTTTCCAAAATAATAGCTTCATTGAGATATAATTCAAATACCATACAATGTACCCTCTTAAAGTATACAATTCAGTGGTTTTTAGTTTATTTGTGGAGCTATGTGATTTACCACAATCAATTTTAGAACATTACGGCCGGGCGCAGTGACTCATGCCTATAATCCTAGCACTTCGGGAGGCCGAGGCAGGCAGAACAACTGAGGTCAGGAGTTCAAGACCAGCCTGGCCAACATAGTGAAACCCCATCTCTACTAAAAATACAAAAATTAGCCAGGCATGGTGGCGTGTGCCTGTAATCCCAGCTACTTGGGAGGCTGAGGCGAGAGAATTACTTGCACCCAGGAGGCAGAGGTTGCAGTGAGCTGAAATTGCACCACTGCACTCCAGCCTGGGCGACGGAGGGAGACTCTGTCTCAAAAAAAAAAAAAAAAAATAGAACATTTTCATCACCCCCAAATGAAACTCTGTACCCATGAGCAGTTGCTCCCCATTTCCTCCCAAGCCGCCCAGCCCCAGGCAACTACTCATCTACTCCTCGTCTCTATAAATTTACCTCTTCTGGACATTTCACATAAACAGGATCATGCCGTACACGTCCTTGAGTGTCTGGCTTCTTTCACTTGGCATAATGTTCAGGATTCATCCATGTTGGAGCATGTATCCACACTTCATTCCTTTTTATTGCCAAATCCTATTTGATTATATGGCTATTCCAGATTTCATTAGTAATTGGTTGATGGACATTTGGGTTGTTTCCATGTTTTGGGTCCTATGAGTAAAATGCTGCTGCGAACTCTCGTTCATGGGTTTCCGTGTGGATGTTAGTTCTGCTTTCTCTTGGGTAAACGCCTAGGAGAGGATTCACTATCATGGGTGACTCTACGTTTAACATTTTGAAGAAATGCCAGACTATCTTCCAAAGTGACTGCACTGGTGCTTTTAATTTTCTTTATATGCTCAAATGTTTACATTTTTCTCAAATTAAATAGTTACCATTTCTACACCCAGGCTGGTTTTTTTTGTTTTTGTTTTGTTTTTGTTTTTGTTTTTTTGAGACAGAGTCTGGCTCTGTCGCCCAGGCTGGAGTGCAGTGGCGCGATCTCGGCTCACTGCAAGCTCCGCCTCCCAGGTTCACGCCATTCTCCTGCCTCAGCCTCCGGAATAGCTGGGACTACAGGCGCCCGCCACCACGCCCGGCTAATTTTTTGTATTTTTAGTAGAGATGGGATTTCACCGTGTTAGCCAGGATGGTCTCGATCTCCTGACCTCATGATCTGCCTGCCTCAGCCTCCCAAAGTGCTGGGATTACAGGTGTGAGCTACTGCACCTGGCCACCCAGACTGTTTTTTACAGTATTTTTTGGTGGTATAAAAGCTCCAGAATGCTCAGGGAAGGTAAAGACCAAGAGGAATTGTGGACAAATTAAATAGTTAACAACCAAAAGCCAACAATTTGCAGATTGAAGCTGAAAAATGGGTAGCATCGGATAATATACCCACATCTCTCAGGCCAGTGTTTCCCAGCCTGGGGTCCCAATTCTGAGGCACACAACAACCTTAGGTGGCACAGAGGAGAATCTTTTTATAAAATATTTTCTAATTATTCTAACACAATCAGAAAAATCAACTAACATGTCAAACTCATGATTATACAGCTCTAATTTCTTGCAAATGAGGCTTTTGTAAGTGGGTCAATTTAAGGAAAAAATATTATAAATAAAAATGTAAGCATTACACAGATATGACCAAAATATCATGAAGGTGGCATGCAAAGACCTGAAGTTTGAGAAACACTGTCCCTGGGATAGTATTTTAATAAAGGATTCTTGAATCCCCAGTAGCTGGGACTACAGGCATGCACCATCACACCCTGCTGATTTTTTTAATTTTTAGTAGAGATGGGGTTTTGCCATGTTGCCCTCAAACTCCTGACCTCAAGTGATCCACCTGCCTTGGCCTCCCAAAGTGCTGAGGTTCCAGGTGTGAGCCACTGTGCCCAGCCAGCTCACCAAGTCTTTAAGGCCCAAGGGATGGACAGTTGCCTGGGTCTTTGTGCCCCCCACCACAGCCCTCACCCCACAGGGACCCTCACTCCCCTCCTCCTGCTGACACCAGTGGGGACCTGTCCTTCACGGGCTATTATGTTCCCATGAAAGCAAATTTAACTTCCTTTATGTTGGTTACATGGATTTTTTTTTTCCGGTCTGTTTCCAAAAGAAACAGTCCTGAGATGATTTTTCAAATGTAAAATCACATATTTATTGAGTGTCTACTACATTGCAAAGCAATGTGCTGGGCACTATGGGATGGTTTTTTTGTTTTGCTTTGTTTTTTAAGTATAAGGCAATTCCAACCCTCCAGAACATAGTTGAGTAGGCGAGATAAATCATGCCCACTTTCAAATTCAAAACAGTTGTCCTGAGATGAGAGACAGGATTGCCCTCGAAGCCTGTGCTGAGGACCAGCTGTGTGATGCGGGGTGAGTCGTCTCAGCCTCTTCACAGTTGCACTCTGGATGATGATAATGCCTCCCTCCTAAGCGGGTGTGAGGGCTAAATGAGACAAGATGGAGTGATGTGTGTAGCAGATGTTGGTGACCTGCTGAGAGCCCCTTGGCCGCGTCCAAGTTCACCTGCAGCTTCCACAGGTGGCAGCTCTTCCTCCTCTGAGCTTCCGTCTTTCTGCCTCTGGAAGGTGTTTTATGTTCCTGGCAGGGCTTGCTCAGACCAGGCCCACCCAGAGGAGGGAGGAGGTGAGGCCTCCAGGTGCATCCTCGGGCAGCAGAAGACAGAGTCCATGGGTGGCGCCCCGCCTCCAGTGCGCTGAGGGAGCAACGCTGAGGTGTTGCTTGTGTTTTCTCAGAAGATCCCCAGCAGGACCGAGCCTCATCGCCCACAGCCATGACCTGCTGGTGTATGCAGGCTTGATTGGCTTTCCTCCTTCCCTTCCTTCCCCCGTCCCACTTTCCAAATTAACCACCTTCCCACCAGTCCTCCATCCAATGTCTGCTGTTCAGGGAACCCAAACTAATTGGAGACGCTGGTTCGCATTTGGCACTCAGTAGACATCCCCTCCCTCAGCAAAGAAGTGAAACAACTTTAGCTGCAGAAGATGCTCCCATGAAGTGATGGGATTGGTTGCTAAATGAAGAGCACAGGCTGTAAGTATGGCAGAAATCAAGAGGGAAAAAATCCATTTTGGCTCATTAGCAAGCAAATGGCACCATCCATAGAAAGCTTTGACTTTTCAAGCTGTTGGGGATCTCAGCTCTCAGTTAACTTACAAATTGAGACACTGCACAGTGGAAAACGACTAGAAAGACCTAGACTCAGCCAGTCCTGGTACCAAGCACAGGCTGCCCTGACCAAAGGCTGGAGTGGCCTCTGTTGACATCCCCCGACAACTACCTGTGTGAGCTGCCCCGTATGTGTTCTAGGATTTCTGGAATTGCATTTAGCAGCATTCAGGGAACAGGCAGAGCAGGTGCATTTTCCAAAAACTCCCCTCCAGAGGCGCCTGGAGAAGGGATTTATGAGCCGCTGCATCTCCGGTTCCTTCTTTGGCATTTATTAGCTTTTTGATGAATGTTAGAGCAATTCTTCTGTCAACAGCTTCTCATTAGGGGCCTGGTGATGTTCTTTCTGACCATTATTTTACTCAATATCATGCCTGGTCACCATGAGGAGAAGAGGTTCCACTTAGAAACCATCCATCTTCACAACAGCAAAGGCCCAGATAATCCCACTCCAATACTCCTGCTCCGACAGCTGCCCCGGGGCACACACTGAGCGTTCAGACAGATGCGGGGCCCTAATGAAGGGCTTGTCGGCAGGCAGCGTGCCCCGCCATTCCTTTAAATACCTATTTCAAGTTTGATTCTGTTTCTTTTTAAAACAAGTTATAGGGAACTTGTTGGTGAAGTAATCACTAGGACTTTTTAGAGATGACAGATGCTTAAGACAAATGACAAGCCTGCCTTGGAAGAGTCTGGAGCTAGCAGGTGCTGGAAGGAGGTGTCCAGTGCCTTAACGGGCTGTTTACTTCCGCTCTCAGATGCACCGTCTTAAAACAGCTATGGTACAGAAAGCGTATAGAGGGGGTTCCTGAAGTCTCTGCCATTCTTTAGCATCAATGTCAACTCTTCAATATCATCAATTCTTTCTTTTTGTTTTGGAGACAGGGTATTGCTTTGTCACCCAGGCTGGACTGCAGTGGCATAATCACTGTAGCCTTGACCTCCCAAGCTCAAGTGATCCTCCCACCTCAGCCTCCTGAGTAGCAGAGACGGCAGGTGCACACTACCATGCCCCACTCATATTCTTATTTTTTGTAGAGACGGAGTTTCACCATGTTGCCCAGGCTGGTCTCAAACTTCTGGGCTCAGGCGATCCACCTGCCTCAGCCTCCCAAAGTGTTGGCATTACAGGTATCATCAATTCTTTTTTTTTTTTTTTTTTTTTTTGAGACAGAGTTTTGCTCTTGTTGCCCAGGCTGGAGTGCAATGACATGATCTCAGCTCACCACAACCTCCGCCTCCGGGGTTCAAGTGATTCTTCTGCCTCAGCCCCCCGAGTAGCTAGGATTACAGGCATGCACCACCACGCCCAGCTAATTTTGTATTTTTAGTAGAGACGAGGTTTCTCCATGTTGGTCAGGCTGGTCTCAAACTCCCGACCTCAGGTGATCTGCCTGCCTCAGCCTTCCAAAATGTTGGGATTACAGGTGTCAGCCCCCGTGCCCGGCCAATTCGTTAGCATCATATCAATTAATATGCCCTCCTCCACCTTGCCATCAGCAGACAAAGGAATATAACCTAGAATGACACTTTTTTTTTTGAGACAGAGTCTCACTCTGTCACCCAGACTGCAGTGCAGTGGTACAATCTCAGCTCACTGCAATCTCTGCCTCCTGGGTTCAAGCGATTCTCCTGCCTCAGCTTCCCAAGTAGCTGGGACTACAGGCATGTGCCAGCATGCCCAGCTAATTTTTATATTTTTAGTAGAGATGGGGTTTCGCCATGTTGGCCAGGCTGGTTTCGAACTCCTGGCCTCAAGTGATCCACCCACCTTGGCCTCCTAAAGTGTTGGGATTACAGGCGTGAGCCACTGCACTCAGCCTAGAATGGCACATTTTCAAAGACGTTTTTTATTGTAAACAATTTTAAATGTATGGGAAATTCAAAAGCGTAATAAATCACTACTTACACATTACCCAGCTTGAACAATTATCAATTTATGGCCAATCTTGGTTCATCTGCCCCACCCATCTGCACCTCCTCACTCTAGACTATTTTGAGGTGAATCCCAGACCACATTTTAATGTTATTTTTATAAGAGATTACTAACTCTTGACCACTCTTCAAGTATAGCTTAACGATAAGTCTCTACCAGAAACAGTTCCTGAAAGGGCTGCCTGTTGAGGCCTTGAGACGTTCAAATTATGTCATTGTTTGGAGAGTAATTTTGGCTAAGGACCTGGAGGACTCCTTCGGCCAGGGACCTAGATAAGTTATGTTTTATAGGTCAGCAAGTGAAAGATGTGGGACCCTAAAAATGTAGGTCAAACAGTTTTCAGCAAACACAGTTTATTTTCCACTCAAGCACCTTTTAAGTAATAATCCTATTATCTGCCCTGGTTTCTCAGCCCTATGAGGATGAGGTCTATGAACAGACCCAGTCTAATCATGGCTTCTCTCCCAAGTGATGTTGTCTCCTTTTATACCTAAGAAGATTCACATCAATAACATCCAATTAGAACTTTGCCTGTGCCACTCAGAGCCCTGAGAGGTAGGCTTCCTTTTTATCTACCAGATCTGATAACCAGAGTTCTTGCTGGGGGAATACCAATGCTAGGGGCCATTTTGAAACTTTGTGGGAGCATTATTTATGGTGAAAAAGAATTGGAAACACTGCAGGCATTTAGCAGTCAAGGGCCAGGAATGTCAGATGTCTCATAAACCATGAGACAGTTCTGCAAACGCAAGTATCTCACATTCCACAGGACTGCGTACTCAGGTAGGTGAAAACCTGCTTATAATGATGTAAGCCTAGACAGTCACTCCATTTTGCAAATAAACACAATGCGTATTTGCACAGTTGTGCTGTACACAGACTGTTTCAGGAATTTAACTCTGTAAGTTGAAACAAAATGGTTCTTCTTGTTGTTCAGAACTTTACCAAGAATTGTTCACCATTTGGAAAACTGTGTCCCCAAAAGCATTTCCTCACTGAGTCAAACGCATTTTTTTTCCTCTTCTTTTTTTTTTTGGTGAGCGGGGTGGGGGCGGTGCAGGCAGAGTCTCACTCTGTCACCCAAGCTGGAGTGCAGTGGTGTGATCACGGCTCACTGCAGCCTCTGCCTTCCAGGCTCAAGCGATCCTCCCACCTTAGCCTCCCAAGTAGCTACAAGCGTGCACCACCACACCTGGCTAATTTTTGTATTTTTGGTAGAGATGGGGTTTCACCATGTTGCCCAGGCTGGTCTTGAACCCCTGAGCTCAAGCAATCCACCTGCCTCCATCCCCCGAAAGCGCTGGGATTACAGGTGTGAGCCACCTCACCAGGCCCCTTCTTGATTCTTGTAATACTTATTGCCTAGGCTTTTTGTTTAGCAACCAATGCTATTGCTTCATTGAAACATGCATTTCCTACTAAAGTGTGTTTCACCTAAAACATCCGACCCATCTGTGTTTGTAGTTATGGATTCACGGGGATACTCCACGTAGGTACAGCATCTGACTACATCATTTCTCCTCTAGTCACGTGCAATCAGTTATATATTGAAACACGCATCACTGTACATTATATTATACATTATACAGTATTATATGATCCTTTCCTTTATTTCTCAAGGACTCAGAGGGTCCCAGTCAACGAAGAATTGCCAGACATTTGAGGAAAGTCTCTAACATGGAAGGTAGGTATCAAAACAAAGTGATCTGGAAGAAACAGAAACTACACAAGGAGAAAAGAACCTTTTCTTTTTAGAGACAGGGCCTCATGCAGTGGCACAATCATAGCTCACTGCACCCTTGAACTTCTAGGCTCAAACAATCCTCCCACCTCAGCCTCACAAGTAGCTGAGACTACAGGTGTGCACCACCACGCCCAGCTAATTTTTTATTTTTTGTAGAGACAGGGTCTCATTATGTTGCCCAGGTTGGTCTTGAACTCCTGAGCTCAAGCGATCTTCCTGCATTGCCTCTCAAAGCACTGGAATTACAGGCATGAGCCACTGCACCCAGTCTAAAACAACTATCATTGGCACCTGTAGTCCCAGCTACTTGGGAGGCTGAGGCAGGAGAATTGCTTGAACCCAGGAGGTGGAGGTTGCAGTGAGCTGAGATCGCGCCACTGCACTCCAGCCTGGTGACAGAGCGAGACTCCGTCTCAAAAAAAAAACAAAAAAACAACTATCATTGGAATAGTCTCAAAGATATAAGAAATGGCATTCATGAAACATGAACAGGTTGACATACACATATGTGTGACCACGAGTATACATATGTATGTATATATAATCGTATATGTTATGTATAATACATTTCATATATTATCTGTTATACACGATATATGTATAAAAACATACAAACAAAAAAAAGAACGTTTAGGGCATAAACTCCATAAAGGAATTTGTATTAAAATTGAGGAAAATCTCCTAGAAAATAAAGCAGAAACAGACACCATGGAAGAGAAGTATTCTAAAGAACCAGATCAAGAGAACCAACAACTAAATAACAGGAATTCCCAGATGAAGTAACAGAGAAAAGGGAAGGGAAGAAAGCATTAGTGAAATAATTCAAGGAAATGTCTCAGAACAGAAAGACAGGTGTTTCCAGATGAAAGGGGCTCATGGGCCAGACGTGGTGGCTCACGCCTGTAATCCCAGCACTTTGGGGGGCCGAGGTGGGTGGATCCCCTGAGGTCAGGAGTTCGAGACCAGCCTAGCCAGCATGGTGAAGCCCCGTCTCTAATAAAAATACAAAAATTAGCCGGGTGTGGTGGCGCACGCCTGTAATCCCAGCTACTCAGGAGGCTGAAGCAGGAGAATTGCTTGAACTTGGGAGGCGGAGGTTGCAGTGAGCTGAGACAGTGCCATTGCACTCCAGCCTGGGCAACAAGAGTGAAAATCTGCCAAAAAAAAAAACAACAAAAAAAAACTGACTCACAGCAAGGCCACATCATTGTGAAATTTCAGGACACTGTCCAGCAGGCAGTTGGGTGGCTTAAGAAGTTGCCATCACTGTACCCTCTGTCACCATCCCCTCTTTTGAACCAGATGAAACTGCCTGAAAACAGCTCCGCCAGAACAAATGCACAAGCCACCAGGAAGAGAACCCGCATCCATCACAGACAACCTCTCTTCCCAGGCCACCTTCTACTCTCCCCACCACTCTGTCCAGGCACAACCTCACAGTGCCAAGTGCAGGCATCTGTGAAACCCCACACGTAAATGCTCATCACAGAAGTGCAAGGGATGTACAGCCCCTCGAGGCCAGCCTTGGCCATCAGGGAACAGGAGCAGGTGGATACAAGCTCCTCACATGGTCTCTCAGGCATGGAATTCAGGGGACCCTTCTACTAAGCTCCTTGGAAAGACCCATCAGGATGGAGCCCCAGCTGCCCACAGCCGTGACCAACTCAATAGCCCACCCTTGGGTTACATTTCCCTTCTCCTGTCTCCTGGGATCACCTTCTAGAATCAACTACGAGCATGCAGGCCTGGGTCTCAGGCTCTGCTTTCTAGGGGAAACCCAGACTAAGATACCATATTAGTCTGTTATCACGCTGCTAATAAAGACGTACCTGAGACTGAGTAATGTATAAAGAAAAGAGGTTTAATGAACTCACAGTTCCACATGGCCGGGGAGGCCTCACAATCATGGCAGAAGGCAAAGGAGAAGCAAAGGCATGTCTTACATGGCGGCAGGCAAGAGAGCTTGTGCAAGGGAACTCCCATTTATAAAACCATCAGATCTCATGAGACTTATTTACTACCACGAGAACAGTATGCTGGAAACAGCCCCCATGATTCAATTATCTCCACCTGTCACCACCCTTGACACATGAGGATTATTTACAATTCAAGGTGAGACTTGGATGGGGACACAGCCAAACCATATCAGATACCAACCCAGGAGAGGGGCAAGGGTGGCCCTGGGGCAGGAGGCTTGGAGAGTGACCAGCCCTGGTAGGAGGAGGAGGGAGGCCAGGAGATGTCTACAGGAAATAGACACTCGCAGATTTGACATCGGAAATAACTTGAGCTTGTGGAGGTTTCTCCTGAGAGGCAGGGGGAAGGGGACTGGAATAGCATAGGACCTATTTAGGCTGAACCAAAGGTCATCCTGCCGACAAGGCGACCCAGGGATATGCTCCTGGTGTGAAGGCACAGCTCTGTAGGAGAGAGATTTGGTAACATAAATCAATAGACTTAAAAGTGGCTATCCTCCATACTCTTAGGAAAGAATCTGAAATTGAGAGAGAACTTCACAAAAAAACTGTGAATCAGGTAATATTTATAATATCATTAAAAAAAAAAAAAAAAAGCAGGTCTGGCGCAGTGGCTCACGCTTGTAATCCCAGCACTTTGGGAGGCCGAGGTGGGCAGATCATAAGGTCAGGAGTTTGAGACCAGCCTGGCCAATATGGTGAAACCCTGTCTCTACTAAAAAATACAAAAATTAGCCGGGCGTGGTGGCACGCACCTGTAGTCCCAGCTTCTCGGGAGGCTGAGGCAGAAGAATAGCTTGAACCCAGGAGGCGGAGGTTGCAGTGAGCTGAGATCGCACCACTGCACTCCATGCTGGGCGACAGAGTGAGACTCTGTCTCAAAAAAAAAAAAAAAAAGACAGTAATTCAGCCTGGGCAACATAGTGAGACCCCCATCTCTATAAAATAAACATTAAAAATTAGCCAGTTGTGGTGGCATGCACCTCTCGTCCCTGCTACTCGGGAGGCTGAGATGGGACAATCACTTGAGTCCAGGAGTTCAAGGGTATAGCAAGCTGTGATTGCACCACTGTCCCCCAGCCTGGGCAACACAGTGAGACACTGTCTCTTAAAATTTTTCTTTTACCAATTTTAAAAGCAGTACTGTTTTCACCTGTAATCCCAGCACTTTAGGAGGCCAAGACGGGCGGATCACCTGAGGTCGGGAGCTCGAGGCCAGCCTGGCCAACATGGTGAAACCCTGTCTCTACTGAAAATACAAAAATTAGCTGGGCATGGTGGCAGGTACCTGTAATCCCAGCTATTCGGGAGGCAGAGGCGCAAGAATCACCTGAACCTGGGAGGTGAAGGTTGCAGTGAGCCAAGATTGTGCCAGTGCATTCCAGCCTGAGCAATAGAGCGAGACTCTGTCTCAAAAGAAAAAGAAAAAAACAGTACTGCTTTGAGTCCAACACAAGCGTAGTAGCGATTCCAGGACATCTACTGGAAGGGGTATCACCACGCAGCCACTATAAGTGATGTGTGAGGCTGGGCGTGGTGGCTCACACCTATCATCCCCAGCACTATGGGAGGCCAAAGCGGGTGGATGGCTTGAGCCCAGCAGTCTAAGACCAGCCTGGGCAACATAGCAAGACCTCACCTCTCTAACAAATACCCAAAAAAATGGGATTATGGGGGCAGAGAAATCCCGCAATCTGCCGTCCGCAAACTAGAGACCCAGAAAAGCCAGTGGTGTCATTTATAGGCCTGAGAGCCTACGGTGTAGACTCCAGTCCAGGTCTGAGGGTCTGGGAACCAGAAGCACTGAGGCAGGAGAAGATCCATGTCCCAGCTTCAGCAGCCAGGCAGAGAGCAAGTTCCTCCTTCCTCTGCCTTTTTGTTCCTTTCAGGCCCTCAGTGGATAGCATGACACCCAGCCGCACCAGGGAGGGCCATCTGCTTTAGGAGCCCACCGATTCAAATGCCAAGCGCTTCCAGAAACACCCTCCCAGACACACCTAGAAATCGTGTCTAACCAGCAACAAGCTGGGCATCCTGTGGCCCAGGCAAGTTGTCACATAAAATGAACTGTCACAGTGTCTATGCTGGTAGAGGCACAGCCCAGCCCTGGAAAGAGACACAGAAGATAGTGGTGCTCACCTCTGGGGAGCAAAACCCCTGAGTTCTGGAGCTGAAATGGCCATTGGAATGCCTCCATATTGGGCCGGAATGATCAGGCCTCCATCTCCAGCCTCCGTCAGTCATGACACAGCTGGCACCCTGGAATGGAGACAATCCCTGAGGGGTGGCAGCGGAGGCAGCAGCTGGGCTCACAAGTCCTCCCCTGGAAAAGGCATCGGTGCACCCCTCAGAGTAACAAAAGAATGCCCATGATAACATGGAGAGATGTTTAGAGAGAAAAAAACGGAACACGTATTTTTTTGGCGGTAGTGGAGGGGCAGAGTCTCCCCCTGTCGCCCAGGCTCGAGTGCAATGGTGTGATCTCCGCTCACTGCAACCTCTGCCTCCTGGGTTCAAGTGATTCTCCTGCCTCAGCCTCTGAAGTAGCTGGGACTACAGGCGCCTGCCACCACACCTGGCGAATTTTTATATTTTTAGTAGAGATGGGGGTTTCACCATGCTGCCCAGGCTGGTCTCAAACTCCTGACCTCAGATGATCCACCCACCTCAGCCTCCCAAAGTGCTGGGATTACAGGCGTGAGCCATGGCGCCTGGCCAGCAGAACACATTTTTATCTATAGTACAATAATGATTATGTGAAACAAATTTTTAAAAATCATAGAAAAAATATTCCATAATTTTATTTATTTATTTATTTATTTTTATTTTAGAGACAGGGTCTCGCTCTGCCACCCGGTCTAGAGTACAGTGATGCAATCATACCTCACTGCAGCCTCAAACTCCTGGGCTCAAGCATTCCTCCTGACTCAGCCTCCAGAGTAGCTGAGACTACAGGAGTGAGCCACCACTCCCAGCTAATTTTTTAAAAAATTTTTGTAGAGACAGGGGTCTCACTTTGTATCCTGGGGTGGCCTCAAACAATCCTCCCACCTCAGCCTCCCAAGGGTGCTGGATTACAGGCATGAGCCACTGTCCACTGTGCCTGGTCTATAATTTTTTTTTTTAAGACAGAGTTTTGCTCTGTCACCCAGGCTGGAGTGCAGTGGTGCAATCTCAGCTCACTGAAACCTCTGCCTCCCAGGTTCAAGCGATTCTCCTGCCTCAGCCTCCCGAGTAGCTGGGATTACAGGCTCCCGCCACCACGCCCGGCTAATTTTTGTATTTTTACTAGAGACCGGGTTTCACCATGTTGGCCAGGCTGGGCTCGAACTCCTGACCACAGGTGATCTGCCTGCCTCGGCCTCCCAAAGTGCTAGGATTACAGGCGTGAGCCACCACACCCACCGTGGCCCATAATTCCTAAGTAATCAAAAATCTAAAAAGCACCCCCTAGGATCTGCTTCTGTTGTTTCTCTCATTAAGCTTTGCTCTTGTTTCATGACTTCTGTGCTTACAGAGAAGGAACAGGAATAACTAATCATTATCAAATAACCTCTGAATGTATAGGGTACCACAACAGAAGGAAATTGGTCACATAAGCCACTACACTCCCCGCCCTTGTAATCAATCACATGTTCAAAGGAAAAAGTCAGTGGTCCCAGACATTCTGTTAAGTTAGAACGACCTGAAACAATTATTTCTCAACACTTAATGCAGCAGTTATAAAATTCTCCAGCAGAGGGCAATGGGTATTTATCTCTAGATAAAAAAGTTAGCTGTGTAACCTGCTGCTGGTTCCTTTGACTGGAAAATGATACTGGCTTTTCAGCCCTGAAACTAAAAGTAGCTCGTTTAGCAACTTACATAGCAAAGTTAGCTAGATGTCAGTTCAGCTGAGGCAGTGGAGAGAAAGAAGTTCCTATGTAACTGTTTGCATTTTATTTTTTGAAATAGACCCGGCTGACCTCATAGCCTGCTATGAAATCGCTGATGGTTCTGTCCTGGACTCCAGGGTAGGGTTTCTCAACCTTGGCCCCGTGGACCTTTTAGGCCAGATGGTTTTTTGTTGTGGGGGCTGTCCCAGGCCTGGTAGGATGCTGAGCAGCGCCCCTGACCTCTCCCCTCACCAGCCGAGACAGCCACAACTGTCACCGGACATTGACGAAAGTCCCGTAGAGAGAAAGGCTCCCCCGCAGGTGAGACCACTGTCCTAGACGATTATCCCGGCAGGTGAGTTTACTGTTACACATTGCATAGGCCGTGCAGGTGATGCCGGAGTCCCGCTTTATTCCCGCCTTGGGCTGTTTTTGGGAGTTCTCAAGCCCTGAGTTAAGAGCTGCTTACAAAACTCAGAGGCAATCAATCACATATGTTCTAGACCCAAGGCCACCTCAGGGCAGAATCAGCACCTGGAAGCTTCCCTGACGAGACTCGACTCTCAGGAAGCTCAAGGTAGCAATGAGTGTATGACTCAGGGTGTCCTGGAACAGGAGAGCCCTCTTAGTAAGATTCTCCCTCGGACATTTCTGTTCTCAACGTCCCCAATTCCGCCCAGCCTCTGGCAGGGCGGGGCGGAGGAATTCTAGCACCTTCCTTCAGATCCAGCCCACCCTGCCCCGCCCACAAGGCACCTTCATGTTCCTCCGGCACATCCCATCTTCAGAAGCTTAGTAAAGTCTCCCCCCATTCAAAGAAGTTTCTGGCTAACAAGGAGGCTTTCTCTCGAGTTCGTTTTGCTGCATTTCTGTCGTTTTTATAGCTAAGGATACTAAGTGGTTGTCCGCACATCTCACAGGCAACGCATGATGCCGGATCCTGCTATGATTTCAGGCAGGACTCAGGCCCCAGAAGCAGGGAGCGGACCTCTGCCTGGGCCGACCTCCCCTCAGGCCCTGAGGCGCAGTGCCCAGGGCTCCTGAAACTTTCATGGGCTCGTGAAGACGTTTTCATGTTTCTTTCTTTTCCAATCAGAAGAATGCCGTCGTCAAAAGATCATTTTTAATTTTTTTAACGGAGGAAGGAGCCCTTGAAGGCAAGGGTTCCCAGAGCCCACTGAAGTCACCCTTCAGCCCTCATCTTTGTGCTGCACCGCCTTTTGGGTGAGGCTTCATACAGGCCCGGTCTTGGTTGGTTAAATATAGAGTTAACCTCAACACCAGGGGAAAACCGGCAGAGTACAGGTCTTCTCTGTTACAGGGTCCATTGCATCATTTCCATATATTCGTTTATTCACTCATCAAACATTCAAATGGCCAGGTATAAATGAAAAAAAAAAAAGAAAAAATTTAAATATATTGCTAAACTTTAGGTTTAAATAATGCATTAATTCCAAATTATGAAAAACGGAGAATTGTTTTTAATTCTATGTTAAATCCTTAAGCCACCACAGCTACTTTTCCAACACCGGATTTGGAGGGGAGGGAAGAAATCAAGCTCCTTTCTTTCCTCATTTTACTGCAGCCTCTCTGTGACAACTAAGGTGAGGTGACATCTTAGTCAGCTTGGGCTGTCAAAACAAAATACCATAGACTGGGTGACTAGAACAACAGACATTTATTTTCTCACAGTTCTAGAGGCTGGAAGTCCAAGATCAAGGTGTCAACATGGTTGGCTTCTGGTGAGGACTCTCACGTAGGCTTGCAGACGGCCACCTTCTCCTTGTGTCCTCACATGGTAGAGAGTTCATTGATGCTCTTCCTCTTCTTATAGGGATACCAGTTTTATGGGATCAACGTTCCACTCTTTTGACCTCATTTAACCGTAACCATCTCCTGAAAGGCCCCCTTTCCAACACAGCCACATGAGGGGTCACGGCTTCAACTTATGAATTTGGGGCAGGACACAATTCAGTCTATAGAAGGTGAGTTGGCCAAACAATGGCGTATTTTTAGCCTTTAATTGCAAGGCTGGTCTAAAAAAACAATCAAGGAGGAAGGGTGGAGTCCTTTGAGTCTTCTTTCCTAAACTTCACCTCCTCACTGATCTTTTGCTCCAGTGACTGCAGAATATAATGACGTGATAGCCTGATGGCCATTGCTCCTCTAATCGCTGGAACTGGTGAGTAACAGTGGTTATTTGTTTGAGGTTGGGTGGATATTTGGAGTTTGGTTCAGTTTCTTGGTTTGAGTTTGATGCGTTTGGTTTTTTTCTTCTTCTTTCTTACCCTGAGAATAGGAAGAGGAATTATTCCTGCCTGGAAAAGATGGCAGGGTTTTTTTGTTTTGTTTTTTGAGACAGAGTCTTGCTCTGTTGCCCAGGCTGAAGTGCAGTGGTGTGATCTTGGCTCACTGCATCCTCTCCCTCCAGGGTTCAAGTGATTCTCCTGCCTCAGCATCCTGAGTAGCTGGGATTACAGGTGCACACCACCAAGGCTCGATAACTTTTTGTATTTTCAGTAGAGACGGTGTTTCACCATGTTGGCCAGGCTGGTCTTGAACTCCTGACCTCAGGTGATCTTCCCACCTTGGCCTCCCAAAGTGCTGAGATTACAGGCGTGAGCCACCACGCCCAGCCTCGATGGCAAATTAATTGCCTAGGAAAGAAATGTCATCTGCGCTGACTCTTCCATTCAGTAGCTTAACATCCCTCAGTCACGTGTGTTACTGCTAAGCTGTATCTCTCCACAGTTGACTCTGACTTTGAATAGTCCATTGAGTGAAGATATGAATAATAAGGTTTCTTAAAAATGTATTTGGTAGGGCACAAAATTATAGTGCTAATTACGTTATGTTTGGTGGGATCTTGAATTTCTATTCCCTGAGCACATCTTCCCTCTTGCCTGAAAACCCTCTGCCTTCTGATGTTCGCGTTCATGATTTCTTGACATTCAGAGCTCAGATATTTAATCTGGGACAGCCCTTGCCTAGTGGCCCAGTGTAAAATCATTTGGTCACCCCATCACATTTTTCTTTTTTTCTTCTTTTTCTTTTCTTTTTTTTTTTTTTTAGATGGAGTCTCACTCTGTTGCCTAGGCTGGAGTGCAATGGCTCAATCTCCGATCTCGGCTCACTGCAATCTCTGTCTCCCGGGTTCAAGGGAAAGTGATTCTCCTGCCTCAGCTTCTTGAGTAGCTGGGACTACAGGCATGTGCCTCCACGCCCAGCTAATTTTTGTATTTTTAGTAGAGATGGGGTTTCGCCATGCTGGCCGGGCTGGTCTTGAACTCCTGACCTCAGGTGATCCACCCACCTTGGCCTCCCAAAGTGCTGGGATTACAGGTGCGAGCCACTGCGCCCGGCCCACTCCTATCACATTTTTCACTTAGTAGTTCCGGGACAGCCAGAATCACAGAACCATGGGACCAGAGTAGGATGGTGGTAGTTTGAATTTCTCAGGTGGAATAGAAGGTGTAGGAGATGGTGGGATCCTGGGTGTGACTGGAAAGTGGTGTGGACATGAAGGTCATTGGGGATAAGGAGTTCAGGGTTATGAACTGGACTGTCTTTACAGATGGGCTCCTAGGACTATGGCAGGAGCAGAAGTGGAAAGAATGAATGGGGTCCCCATGAAAGAGGACAGCTGATAGGCCAGGTGCGGTGGCTCACATCTGTAATCCCAGCAATTTTGGAGGCCGAGGTGGGTGGATCACGAAGTCAGGAGTTCGAGACCAGCCTGACCAACATGGTGAAACCCCATCTCTACTAAAAACACAAAAATTAGCTGGGTGTGGTGGCGCATGCCTGTAATTCCAGTTACTCAGGAGGCTGAGGCAGGAGAATCGCTTGAACCTGGGAGGAGGAGGTTGCAGTGAGCCCAGATCGCGCCACTGCACTCCAGCCTGGGCGACAGAGCAAGACTCTGTCTCAAAAAGAAGAAAAAAAGAAAGAACAGCTGAGCAGGTGGAAGAATCTTGCGGGGAAGCAGGAAGCATCATGCAGTTAGAAGGCAGAGGAGGAAGACAGAGACCTCCTGCATCTCATCATATGCCGAAGCTACATGTTACAAAGAAAGATGTTCAATTATTTTTTAATAGAAGGAATGACAAAGCAAGACTCCAGGATGGCGCCACTGCTCTCCAGCCTGGGTGAGAGTGAGACTCCATCTCAAAACAATAAAAAATAACAAAAAATAAAAGGAATGCTTTGGAAGTGATCATGAAGAAGACGGGAGAACCCCAGTTCCCTTTTCCTGGACTCCAAGGTGGGGAAGAAAACACCTTCTCCTTGCTGAAGGGCTGCACAGGGAGCCCATCCTCAGGGAAGAAGGGAGTTTCTATCCTACCAGGAAGGTGGATCAAGCCCAGAATTAGCATGGGAACTGCCAGAAGGTAAACTGAGGCCCATGAAAATATTAAACAGATTATTTGAGCAAACAGTGATTCATGAATCGGGCAGCCCCAGATGGCAAGTGGTTTGAGGTCTGAGGAAGGAGCGCGCAGGGCAGGCTCCCAGAGGTGAACGCAGAAGCAGAGTACATTGATCAATCACAGCAGAGCAGAGCCTTATACAAGCGTCCCAGCGCTCGGTCCCTAGTTACGGGGCAGCAGGCAGCTTCTGATGGGCCTAAAGTATAGCCCCGAAAGCTGAGTTGGGTTTGGGTTTGCTGACATAGGAACCCAGGGCCCTGCTGCAGCCTCAGTCTCAGCCCCCCGATTAGTTATTCCAACAGAATGTAAGAAAGACTGCAGAGAAAGAGGCTGGGTGCATGGACAGCACTGGGAGGCAGCAAGGCTGGGGCAGTGTGACGTTTGCCCTGCCCAGGTGCACCTGGCTCTGAGAGACAGAGACAGAGGGATACAGAGACACAGAGACAGGTCCCACCTGCCACTCCAGCCGAGCTCGCACCCTGGCACAGAGCTGCACCTGCTCAGAGGAGGGAATGCCGTGAGCCCAGGGCCTTTGCCCAGAGAGTCAGCTCTGCAACACCAGCCGCTCCCCTCCATGTAGCCCAGCAACATGGAGCCCCCCCACCCAGACCCGGGGGCCGACAGCGAGAGGAATCGGAGAAGGCGCAGAGCAAACAGAGCTTCCAGGCTGGAGAGGGTGAGCAATGGGGACACGGGGTGTAAGCGTGGAGAGACCAAGGCTTAGTACCAGGACGTAAGCCACTTGCGGCAAACTCAGAATGTGTCCCATGCAGCCTGGTGCACCCGTGGCCAAGTCCTGGCAGCCCTGCATAGGGTGGGCTGCGGGAAGGAGCCATGGGAAGGAGAGGCTCTGGAATAGTCGAAGGACAAGCGAAGAAATCCGACTGTTCTCTCAACCTCACCTATGTTGGCATCGGGGAAATATGTGAACCTGTGACTCCTCAAGCAATTTTTATTTTTATTCATTCATTTGTTTTGGAGATAGTCTGGCTCTGTTGCCCAGGCTGGAGTACAGTGGCATGATCACAGCTCCCTGCAGCCTCAACCTCCAAGACCCAAATGATCCCCCCACCTCAGTCTCCTGAGTAGCTAGGACTACAAACACATGCCACCACACCTGGCTAATTTTTTTTTTTTTTTGACTTTTTGTAGAGACAGGATTTTACTATATTGCCCACGGTGGTCTCAAACTTTTGAATGTAAGCAACCCTCCCACCTCCGCCTCCCAAAGTGTTGGGATTACAGGCATTAGCCATCATGCCCAGCCCTCCTCAAGGAATTGGATATGGGCAGAGAAAACAGAGGGCTTGTTAATTTCAGAAATAAATGATTTAATTGGATTACAATATGTTGAGAGCTAACGCCACATAACACTACACATTAACAATAATTACTTTTGTTGTGATGAGAGAATGATTATGTATTCACCTCATAAAACTTTGTGGAGGGAAGGCGTTGCAGAAAATAAAAAGAAGCATTAAGTCCCTGGAATACTCCTGTCTTCACTTTGGCAGCTCAAATACAAGCCTCAGTGCCTGTCAAAATTTCTCTCTGGAACCATTCATATTAGAACCACCTGGAATGTCTCAGGCCCGCTTTGCTGCAGTAGAATCTCTGGGTTTGGAGAAATACAGGAATTTGCATTTTTAACAAGGCCCTCCTTGATGCTTAGTATATCAACACTAAGGAGAAAAAAAAAAAAAAATATATATATATATATACACACACACACACGCATATACATATGCTTTCATTTTGCTCTCTGCAATCCTTCATGACATGAACAAGGAAAAAAAAACCTTCCTGTACAGCACAAATTCACATTTAATAATCCTCCTCCAGTTCTGAGTTTGTTTTGTCTAGTCCTAAAGTTGCTTTTAATAAGGGAGTAGCGATCCTAGCCCATTGAGCTTGTTTTTTTAAATGATGCTTTGATTTCTCAGGCAGGCTGGGTTGATGTTACCCTTGGCATCCTCCCAGATAATTTTAGTGTCAATAAAAAAATCTGGGCATCTGCCACCCTCCTTATTTTACCCTTGGATGATGTGAGCAGGATGTCTTAGGATGTCCCCAGCTTCAGACATCTGAACTCAGAGCTGTGTAGAGATCCGTGAGTTTGCACCCTGGCTAGACTTCAAGAGCAACAGGAGAAAATCAAAATGAAAAGTCCATGCAAAGAGGACCTTCACCAAGGACACTTTGAGGTCTCAAGGAGGCTATGAAAGTCAATTTCAATAACATCTGGATCTTGCTAGATGTTAAAACCAGCTTGCGGTACTCCTGGCTGTTCACTAGAGTCAGGAACACTAACTTCTTGCTTAAGCTCCCAGAGGCGAAGAGACATTAAGATCCTGGCAGCAACAGAAATGTCTTGAAGATGAGGTCCATTCCTAGGAGTTGTACAGAACACCCCAAATAAAATGCACCAATAAAGCCTCATTCCTAAGAACAGCAGATTAAATTCTACTCAGTTCCAGTGAACTCTTTTCGGGTCAGAAGGTGCCAACCAATCAAATACGCCATGCCTGCCATCCCTCTCAAAAGCGGGCACTTCCCTCTCAAAAAGAAAGTTGGTACCACTAGCCTGGGAACCCAGCCCCGCCTCCGCCAGTGCCACCCCTGCCTGCTCTGCTGGGCAGCGGATCCCCAGCTTCACCAATGAGCGTCCCCTTTGCTGTTTCACGTTGGACTTCCACAAGTGATTTCAACTGATGAAAGCATCCTGCTGCTTTAAATTTTTTTAAATATTTGAAAGCCAACCAAGTCCAGTGGCTCACTCCTGTAATCCCAGCACTCTGGGAGGCCGAGGTGGGAGGATCACTTGAGCCCAGGACTTCAAGACCAGCCTGGGCAACATAATGAGACCTTGTCTCTACAAAAAATCAAAAAGTGAGGCAAGAGGATGGCTTGAGCCCGGGAATTAGAGGCTGCGGTGAGCTATGATTGTGCTACTGCGCTCCAGCCTGGGCAATGGGGATGAGACCCTGTTTCAAAAGAAGGAAAAATGTGAAAGCCACTGTGTGTGGCACTTTCCAGAATAAAGAGGAGTATCTTAGGCCAAGAAGAATGACCTGCCCAGGGTCACATAGCTCATCCATGTCAGAGGTAGGACCCATTAGCTTCCCAGGGTTCTTGCAACAAATTACCACACATGCAGTGGCTTCCGACAACTCAGATGCGGTACCTTACAGCTTTGGAGGTCAGAAGCCCAAAATGGGGCCAGGCTCAGTGGCTCATGCCTGCAGTCCCAGCACTTTGGGAGGCCAAGCTGGGCAGATCACTTGAGGTCAGGAGTTCGAGACCAGCATGACCAACATAGACTCCAGCTTTATAAAAAATTAGGCAGGTATGGTGGTGCACGCCTATGGTCCCAGCTACTTGGGAGGCTGAGATGGGAAGATCACTTGAGCCCAGGAGGTCAAGGATGCAGTGAGCTGTGATTGTACCACTGCACTCTAGCCTGGGCAACAGAATGAGACCTCATCTCAAAAAAAAAGAAATCCAAAATGGGTCTCCAAATGGGCTAAAATCAAGGTGTTGGCGGGGCTGCATTCCTTCTGGAAGCTCGAGGGGAGAACCTATTTCCTCACCTCTTCCAGCTTCCTGCCGCTTCCCAGGTGGTTTTGACCTGTGGTCCCAGCCAGCACTCTGATCACTCACAGCCTCTTGTTCTCTGGCTCTTCGCCTCCCTCTTGCAAAGGTGCTAGTGATTCCATTGAACTCACCTGGCGAATCCAGGCAGTACCCCAGCTAACGAGCCTTCACTTAATCACATGTGCAGAGATCCTTTGCCCACGTGAGTCAACCTACGCACAGGTTTTGAGAATTAGGACACCGGCATCTTCAGGGGACCATTACTCTGCTTACCACGTAGAACCAGAATCCAGGTCTGTTAACCCCCAACCCAGGTATCCCTATGGCTCTCAGGTCCTCACTACCGCATTTGTTGTCTTGGGCTCCTCGAAGTTCAAGGTCACCTCTGTGGCTCAGAGACAGCAGCAGAGAATTGCCCCTTGAAGTGGTGGTTTGGTATTGTGTGTACCACATATACCCCTAGAGACTCCATAGCACCCACCCCCCGCCATATTACCTAACTCCTCAGAAGGAAGGGGGTTTGCCCCTTGGGGTCAGGGTGCATCTTGGTGATCCACTGAGAAGGGTTAGAGGGAGGACCCTTCATCCAGGAATAAAGCAAGTGCTGCTCACCTGCTGGTGACTTCTTGGGAACCTGGGGAAGGGGGAACGAACCACCCCAGTGTCCACGAGTCCCTGAGTGCAGGCTGTAAATGAAAAAGTGTCTGAGACAGGTCTCAATCCGTTCGCATGTTTGTTTTACTGAGGTTATAGACGCGTGCTCAGGAAGCAGGTCTGTGCCTTTCCCCAAAGATGATTTTGAGGGTTTCAATATTTAAAGGGGGCCGGGCGAGGTGGCTCCCATGTGTAATCCCAGCACTTTGGGAGATCGAGGCAGCCAGATCACTTGAGGTCAGGAGTTCGAGACCAACCTGGCCAACATGGTGAAACCCTGCCTCTACTAAAAATTCAAAAATTAGCTGTGCGTGGTGGCGGGCACCTGTAATCCCAGCTACTTGGGAGGCTAGGGCGGGAGAATAGCTTGAACCCAGGAGGCAGTGAGCCGAGATCATGCTACTGCACTCCAGCCTGGGTGACAGACCAAGACTGTCTCAAAATATATATATTTAAAGGAAAACGGGTGTATATTGGGGAAAGAGTAAGAACTTTTAAAAAGTGTTGGGTAGACAAGAGGTAAATGGTTGCATTTTTTTGGGTCTTTGGTCGGCCGTTCACATGTGAGGAGGGATAGAGGAACAGTGTTAGGCATTCATCTAGCTCAGTGAATCTGCATTTTTACATGAGATGTGATCAAAGAAACAGGGCAGAGGAAGCAATCAGATATGCATTTGTCTCAGGTGAGCAGGGGGATGACTTTGAGTTCAGTCCTTTGTCCCACACCTGTGTACATAAGCTATCCATTTACATTAGCAGGGTGAAACGCAACAACTCTTTCAGGGTAAAGACCTAGGGGCCACAGGGAATTTCTAGTGGGCAAATTGTGAGAGAGGTATGTGTGGGCGGCAAGCCACCCAGGCGCCAAGGCAAGAGACCGAGGACACGAGCTGTTCCAGTATAATAAAATATAAAACAAGAATAGTTATACCAGATGTAGATCTTAGATATGATTATATATGAATATCATTAATCATTAGTTTGTAGTAATTACTCTTTATCCCAATATTTTAATAATCCTCGCTCTACAGTCATAACCTAGGAAAAACCAGGCCATACAGAGATAGGAGCTGAGGGGACACAGTGAGAAGTGACCAGAAGACAAGAGTGCGAGCCTTCTGTTATGCCCGGACAGGGCCACCAGAGGGCTCCTTGGTCTAGCGGTAACACCAGCATCTGGGAAGACGCCCGTTGCCAAGCGGACGGTGGTCTAGCGGTAGCGAAAAGTGTCAAGGAACAACACCCACTACTTAGCAGACCGGGAAAGGGAGTCTCCCTTTCCCCGGGGGAGTTTAGAGAAGACTCTGCTCCTCCACCTTTTGTGGAGGGCCTGACATTAGTCAGGCTCGCCTGCAGTTATCCGGAGGCCTAACCGTCTCCCTGTGATGCTGTGCTTCGGTGGTCATGCTCCTAGTCCGCCTTCATGTTCCATCCTGTACACCTGGCTCTGCCTTCTAGATAGCAGTAGTCAATTAGTGAAAGTACTAAAAGTCTCTAATAAGCAGAAATAATGGCGTAAGCTGTCTTTCTCTCTGTCTCCTCTCCCTCTCTGCCTCGGCTGCCAGGCAGGGAAGGGCCCCCTGTCCAGTGGACACGTGACCCACATGACCTTACCTATCATTGGAGATGACTCACACTCTTTACCCTGCCCCTTCTGCCTTGTATCCAATAAATAACAGTGCAGCCAGACATTCGGGGCCACTACTGGGCTCCGTGCATTGGTAGTAGTGGTCCCCCGGGCCCAGCTGTCTTTTCTTTTATCTCTTTGTCTTGTGTCTTTATTTCTACACTCTCTCGTCGCTGCACACAGGGAGAGACCCACCAACGCTGTGGGGCTGGTCCCTACAGGTGTGTAGCTTTTTTTTCTTTTCTTTTCTTTTCTTTTCTTTTCTTTTCTTTTCTTTTCTTTTCTTTTCTTTTCTTTTGCAGCTACCTTCTTTAGGAATAAAATGAGAGGCAGGTCTGCCTGACTGCAGTTCCCAGCTTGACTTTGCCCTTTGGCTTAGTGATTGTGGGTCCAAGATTTATTTTCCTTTCACAACCCCAAGGCTTGGTACAAATCCCCACCACTTGTGTTGATCAGAAACCAGCAAACATGGGAACCAGGATGAGAAGAGGAAGGCAGGCTGGGCCGATGGTGTCCGTGGGTCTGTCTGATACCAGGATCAGGGAGGCTGCAGGGACAGGCCGGGGCTCCCAGGAGCAGTGAAGGGCTGGCACCCGGCACCACCCAGCTGAGTCACCTCCGTCCACACTCCAGAGCCCACTAGGCCAACAAGGATGAGCTCAAGAGGAAACGCAAGGGGCTTCTGACTAAAGATACACGCACCAGGAATTCCTGCATGCTTTGATGGGTGTGCCTGAGAGTCATTCTCCCTCCCGCTGCCGGAATGATAACATTCCAGAGGTGTCACTGACCACTGTCCTACAACCAGCAGGGGCCAAGAAAGCTGTGAGCCTCTGAGAGGAGCCAGGTGGGGGAAGCGGTGCCAGAGCGCATGAACTGTGACCCCTGAGCCAAGCCTCCCCTGTCCCTTCCCAGCACTGGGCAAACTAACAAGAATAATGGCAGCAGCACTTTGGCAGGCTGAGGCAGGTGGAGTTCGAGACTCCTGGCCTGGCCAATATGGTGAAACCCTGTCTTTACTAAAAATACAAAAAAATTAGCTGGGCATAGTGGTGGGCGCCTGTAGTCCCAGCTACTCGGGAGGCTGAGGCAGGAGAATCTGCTTGAACCCCAGAGGCGGAGGTTGTAGTGAGCGGAGATCGCGCCACTGCACTCCAGCCTGGGTGACAAGAGCAAGACTCCAACTCAAAAATAAAAAAAAAAGAATAATGGCAGAGCCTGAAGTCAGAGCTTCCTGAGATCACCAAGGACGTCTCTGGCAAAGCCAGTTGAGAAAAGGCTTCATGATAACTAGAGGTTAATGAAGACTCGTTAGTCATCTAGGAGGGGGGTAATAATTAACCAAGAGAGGTCCTCTTCAGTCTTAGCCCTGCAGGGGCACTAGCAGGTTCTGAGGGCCGGTTTCAGGGGCTTGTGACCCATGCAGTCACAGGGCCTCAAGCTTGGTTTAATGGTCTGCTGTTGCCATCTTGAAGTAATCAATTATTTTGTTTGTTTTTAAAGACAGGGTCTTGCTTGATACCCAGGCTGGAGTGCAGTGGCGTAATCACAGCTCACTCCAGCCTCGACCTCCCAGGCTCAAACTATTCTCCTGTCCCAGCCTGTAGCTGGGAATACAGGCATGTACCACCACGCCTGGCTAGTTATTTGGTTTTTGTGGAGATGGGGTCTCAACATGTTGCCCAGGCTGGGCTCGAACTCCTGGCCTCAGGTGATCCTTCTGCCTTGGCCTCCCAAAGTGCTGGGTCTACAGGCATGTGCCACACTGCACCCGGCCAGTAATTAATTTTGAACAAGAGGCTCAGCATTTTCATTTTGCACTGGGCCGCACAAATTATGTAGCCAGTTCTACAGGTCTGTCATCATTGTGTTTGTGTAGGACTGAGGGTTAGCAAGGCAGTAAAATGCTCAGTCTCTCAGCTTCCAAGGCAGATCACTCATCTAGTCATGAAATCAGATTAAACTTGGCAGAGAACTCCCTCCCACACACGCACCCCACACACGCACCCACACGTGCACCCACACACACGTGCACCCACACACACACACGCACCACAGACGCACTCACAGATGCACCCACACACACACCCACACACGCACCCACACACCCACACGCGCACCCACACACCCACACATGCACCCACACGCGCACCCACACGTGCCCTCACAGGCGCACCCACATGCTCACCCACACACGCACACCCACACACACACATACGCACCCACACACGCACACTCACGCACACACATACACGCACAAATATGTGCACACATAGGCACCCACGTACGTGCCCACATACGCACACACATATGTACATGCACAGGCACCCACATAAGCATACACAGACGCACACATATGTACTCAACAGATCACACCAAACTGAAGTTCAGTGATGAGTGTAGGTGGGATCAGGCCATGACTGAGAGTTGCTCAAGGGTATTTCAGGGAAATAATTTGGTACTCAGGTGATGGGCTCCTATCCATCTCTACCATGGCTCAGTGAACTGAAGAAAAGAGCCTGAGGCCAGGCAAGGTGGCCCACACCTGTAATCTCAATCATTTGGGAGGCTGAGGGGGTAGGATCACTTGAGCCCAGGAGTTTGAGACCAGCCTGGGCAACATAGCAAGAGCCCATCTCTGCAAAAAAATTAGCCGGGTGTGGTGGCATGCCTCTGGTTCCACCTACTGGGGAGGCCAAGGCAGGAGGATTGCTTGAGCCCAGGAGTTGGAGGTTTCAGTGAGCTATGATCTTACCACTGCAATCCAGCCTGGGCAACAGAATGAGACACTGTATCCAAAAAAAAAAAAAAAAAAAAAGAGGCTGAACTTCAAAACTAGTTTGAATGTTTGGAATTAAGTTATTTAACAGCCCTAACCACCACCATTGTGACTGTACCAGCACACAGGGATGGGGGAGAGCCCACCTCGGTCCCCTGGAGGCTCCTTCATCCCAGGAGTTTGTGTTAAATGTATGGCTGGCCCACCACTGACCCCACCAAGAGCACATCCTCAGACTCCCAGAGCTGTGGGTTCCTCCCACTTGTTTCCTACTGAGTCCTCTATTTTACTGTCAACACTGTGCCCCAAATCAATGTGCCCCCTTCAGCAGCAAAGTTGATATTTTTTTCCGGTCAGCCCCTTGCTAATAAAACCATTGCCAGAACTGGGGAAGAGGGAGGGGCTAGGAACAGAGCAGAGCAAAGGCTGCAGACTCCTGCTGCCGCTGTCTGAAGCTCAAGCTTGTTTTCATGAGTAAATGCTTCTCAATTTCTTTTCTGCTTCTGGCCAGTCTCCAAAACTCTGAAATGGTTGTTTTTGACTTTTTTTTTTTTTTTCCAATTTGATCCTAGTCTTTTTGGGGAAGGGGGAAGGACTTGCCAACATTTTCATGCCTCCATAGCTGGATATTTGGCTGCTAAAGGAGTTTTTTTTTTTTTAATTTTAGGGTGGAGAGGTCTGACGCTGTCACCCAGGCTGGAGTGCAGTGGCATGATCATAGCTCACTGCAGCCTCAACCTCCGGGGCTCAAGTGATCCTCCCACCTCAGCCTCCAGAGTAGCTGGGACTACAGACATGCACTACCATGCCCAGCTAATTTTTTTTAAAAAATCTGTAGACACGGGGTCTCACTATGTTGCCCAAGCTGGTCTGGAACTCCAGGGCTTAAGCGATCCTCCTTCCTTGGCCTCCCAAAGCACTGGGGTCACAGGCGTGAGCCACTGCACCTGGTGGGCTTTCTACATTTTTTAATGTGATGAGTCACGAACTTCCCAGTTTTCCACTGCTTCCACCACCCCTCTGGCCCTACCCTTGTCTTGTGTCTTTAATGTACGTTACTTGCCCGGCCCTGGAAGGCTTTTGAGCTTATGAACCGTGGCCCACAGGAGCGGCACCGGGACATTGTCTTAAAACTGTACTGCAATTTGTAATTAGCGATAATCCTTCCACGAACATCCACCATTCTCCAAGGCCTTTGTGCTAGATCCCCGCAGAGAGAAAAGCATAGAAGATCCTTGTCTTCAAGGCCTCTGAAATCCTGGGGGAAATGAGGGGCGGGAACACATAGCCATAACTGAGTGCAATGCCTGCAGCATGTGATTGGCACAAATGTGTTCTCTGTGGGTGGGGAAGGATGAGATTCCTCCAGTGAATACATACAGACCCTGCGAATGGTTTGGAAGGTTCTTTTCCAACTACTAAACATGAGTTAGGTACTTAAACACTTGGAATGAAATCGCTTCCGTTAGAGAAAATAAATAGGTGCATCCTACAAAAGAGAATTTGAGGTACGGAATGTTCTGGAGGGCTAGACGGCATCTTGTTGGTTGAAGGTAGAGAGTGAAAGGAATACTGGATGGAGAACCCAAAGACGTGGGGTTTGGTCCTAGCACTGCCACTATGATGCTATGTGACTTTGGGCAGACCATCTACCATCCTGAGAAATCAGTTTTTGCATCTGTACAATAAGGAAGAGGTGAGGCCAAGTATAGTGGCTCATTCCTGTAATCCCAGCACTTTGGGAGGTCCAGGTGGGAGGACAACTTTGACCCCTATGATTTCATCTCCACCCCAGCCAATCAGCAGCAAGGCCTAGCCACTCCCACCCCTTCCCCCAAACTGCCTGTGCTCTCAAGAGCAAACACAGAAAAAGAGACCACAGGGAGCTTTGGATTGTAGGATTCGGCTCTGCTAGCAGGCTTCTCATTCTTTTTAGAACAGTTGGAGGAAGAAAAGTGAATGTTTGGATTAAAAACTAGACCTAGGGCTGAGCATGGTAGCTCACGCCTGTAATCGCAGCACTTTGGGAGGCCGAAGCAGGAGGATCACTTGACCCTAGGAGTTCGAGACTGGACTGAGCCACATATCAAGAACCTGCCTCTATAAAAAATACAAAATTTAAAAAGTAGTCGGGTGGTGCTGGTGCATGCCTATAGTCCCAGCTACTCGGGAGGGTGACGTAGGGGGATCACTTGAGCTCAGGAGTTCAAGGCTGCAGTAAGCCAAGATTGCGCCACTGCACTCCAGCCTGGACAACAAAGCAAGACACTGTCTCAAACAAAACAAAACAAAACAAAAAAACTAGACCTACAAATGTGTTTTAGAAAACAAAAATGAGCTGGGCACAGTGGCTCATACCTGTAATCCCAGCATTTTGGGAGGCCGAGGCGGACGGATCACTTGAGAACAGGAGTTTGAGACCAGCCTAGCCAACATGGTGAAACCCATCTCTACTAAAAATACAAAAAATTAGCCGGGCGTGGTGGTGGGAGCCTGTAATCCCAGCTACTTGGGAGGCTGAGGCAGGAGAATCACTTGAATCTGGGAGACGGAGGTTGCAGTGAGCTGAGATCACGCCACTGCACTCCAGCCTGGGTGGCAGAGCAAGACTCTGTCTCAAAAACTAAAAGAAAACAAAATGGTTCCACACTAAGAAAGGCTGACTAGAAAACAAGAAAATGTCACTCCTAACAGAATCCCAGGCCCAAAGAAGGAATGGCAGATTAAAGGCATTCATATTTATCATAGCCAAAGAAGGAAAAACTGCAGGAAATGATTAACAAGGCTGCAAGACCAATTATAACCAAAGACAGGAAGCTGAAGCAGGAGGCTTATCTCATTAGCTAATTTGAATGCAAAACTACAGGGGATGTTTCCTGTGCGCCTCCAGGGAACCCTTAATCCCTGCATAGGAAGGGCCCTCAGAGATCGCGGAGGAGTTATTGAAGCTCTCTTGGGCCCCTTCCTTATGCTCTCTCTCTTGGAAAGTGGAGAAGGAATTCACCCAGGATAAGCGAGCATTTTTATTTGAACTCCTAAAACATTTGTGTTTGGTGTTCATTTTGAAATTAAAGCATTTTACCAAGAAGCAGCCCCAGGGGGCTAAGGTAGCAGGGCCCAGTGGCCAACGGGACCTTTCAGCCTCGACCTCCTGGGTCAAGTGATCCTCCCACCTCAGCCTCCCTGTAGCTGGGACTACAGGCATGCGCCACCATGCCCGGCTAATTTTTGTATTTTTTGTAGAGACGGGGTTTCTCTGTGTTGCCCAGGCTGGTCGCCAACTCCTGGGCTCAAGCAATCGGCCCGCCCCCACCTCGGCCTCCCAAAGTGCTGGGATCACAGGCATGCGCCACCTCGCCTGGCTGGCCTCGTGCTTAATGTGCTTATGCTGCCTGGAGCAAGAGGATGGAAAGACCTAGGTTACCAGGGTTACCAAGCACCCAGGCTGGCAACTCTCACATTCCACAGTCACAGGCGCGAGACTATCATCATCTCTCCCAATGCTACTGCTGTGTTTATGAGCTCCCAAGTCACTCAGCAGGGACAGTGGCATCAGATGCAGAGGGTGGAATCTATAGCACTAAAAGGACTTTGGAGAAGAAAGACAAAATCCAATGCAACCACCCTGTGTGCCCAGGTCTGTGCTTTTGGCTGTGCACAGGCTCGCCGAAGCCAGCAGCGTGGCAGGTCCGTTTGAGTCGCGCCACACCAGGAGTGCATCTCAGAGTCTCCATCACATCCATTTTCTCTCCCCCAGTGGCACGGTTTCCTGATCAAATACAAAATGAGTCCACTTGAGGCAGCTGCCTTTGAGGTATTAGAGGCACTACGTTTTGGGCATTGTAGGAAAGACCCCGGTAATAAAAGTTTTCATCCGCTTTCCTTATTATTTTTCTTCTTTTCCGCCAGTCACTGATAGGATAATCCATGGTAAAGCTGACCAAAGCTACTCTAAACACTGACGGGTGTTCCCTGAAATCTACATTGTACATCCGACTGCCTACAGGAACTTAGTCTTGCTTTTTTTTTTTTTTTTTTTTTTTTGAGATGGAGACTTGCACTGTCGCCCAGGCTGGAGTGCAGGGGCGCGATTTCGGCTCACTGCAGCCTCCACCTCCCGGGTTCAAGCGATTCTCCCGCCTCAGCCTCCCAAGTAGCTGGAATTACAGATGCCTGCTACCATGCCTGGCTAATTTTTTGTATTTTTAGTAGAGACAGGGTTTCGCTATGTTGGCCAGACTGGTATCAAACTCCTAATTTCGTGATCTGCCTGCCTCAGCCTCCCAAAGTGCTGGGATTACAATGTGAGCCACCGAGCCCGACCTTTTTTATTTAGAGACAGGGTCTCACTCTGCCCAGGTTAAACTCGAACTCCTGGGCTCAAGTGATCCTCCCACCTCAGCCTCCTGAGTAGCTGGGACTATAGTCGTGCACACCATGCCCAGCTCTTAGTCTTGCCTATTTTTTTTTTTTGAGACAGAGTCTCGCTCTGTCGCCCAGGCTGGAGTGCAGTGGCACAATCTGGGTTCACTGCAGGCTCCGCCTCCTGGGTTCACGCCATTCTCCTGCCTCAGCCTCCCGAATAGCTGGGACTACAGGCACCCGCCACCACACCCGGCTAATTTTTTTCGTATTTTTAGTAGAGACGGGGTTTCACCGTGTTAGCCAGGGTGGTCTCAATCTCCTGACCTTGTGATCTGCCCACCTCGGCCTCCCAAAGTGCTGGGATTACAGGCGTGAGCCACCGCGCCCGGCTGGTCTTGCCTATTTTTGAACTTTCTATAATTGGAATGATATTGTGTTCATCTTTCTCTAACTTCTATATACAATCAATTCTTACGTTTTCGAGAATTATGTTTCACGCATATTGAAGCATGCAGCTGTGGTTCATTTCCACTCCTGTAGTATTCTATTTATGAATATAAGTCAGTTTATTTATCTGTTCCCTTTTCTAGCTTTTCCCCCTTATTATTACAAATAATAGTGCCATAAACATTGTTTGAATGTGTCCTGGTCCACAAGGCAAGACTTCTGTGGGAATGGAATTGCTAGGGCTCAGTTTTATAGCTAATGCCCAAAAGTCCAAAGTGACAGTACAAATGTATCCTCCTCTTGTGGGTGGAATTAGTCTCCCCAAAAGTCATATGTTGAAACCCTCACCCCCTCGGACCTCGGGATGTGACCATATTTGGAGATGATACATCTTTTTTTTTTTTTTTTTTTTGAGAAGAGTTTCGCTCTTGTCGACAGGCTGGTGTGCAATGGCGTGATCTTTGCTCACTATAACTTCTGCCTCCCAGGTTCAAGCCATTCTCCTGCCTCAGTCTCCCAAGTAGCTGGGTTTACAGGCATGTGCCACCATGCCTGGCTAATTTTGTATTTTTAGTAGAGACGGGGTTTCACCATGTTGGTCAGGCTGGTCTCGAGCTCCATACTTCAGGTGATCCACCCGCCTCGGCCTCCCAAAGTACTGGGAATACAGCTCCCGGTTAGAGATGTCTTTAAAGAGGTAATTGATGCAGAGATATGGAACCAACTGAAGTGCCCATCAGCCGATGAGTGGATAAATAAAATGTGGTATACAAACACCGTGGAATACTACCCAGCCATGAAAATGAAATTTTGTCTTTTGCAGCAACTTGGATGGAGCTGGAGCCCATTATCCTGAGTGAAGTAACTCAGGAATGAAAAGCAAATACTGCACATTCTCACTTAGAAGTGGGAGCTAAGCCATGGGTACACAAAGGCCTGTGGAGTAGGACAGTGGACACTGGAGACTCAGAAGGAGGGAGGGTGCAAGGTGGGTGAACAAACTATATATTGGGTACAATGTATGCCCCTCAGGTGATGGGTGCACTAAGATCTCAGACTTCACCACTACACAATTCATCTGTGTGACCAGAAACCACTTGTATTCCAAAAGCTATTGAAATAAAAAAAAATTAAATAAATAAATAGAATAACATTTAAAAATAAATAAATACTAAAATATTGGGTTGGTGCAAAAGTAATTGCCATTTAAAATGTCAAAAACTGCAATTACTTTTGCACCAACCTAATAAAAAGGTCATTAAGTTAAAGTGAGGTCTTAGGGTGCCTAAGCCAATAGGATGAGTGTCCTTCTAAAAGGACACAGACACAGAGGGAAGGCCACGGGAAGTCACAGGGCGAAGGCAGCCAACTGCAGAAGGAGAGAGGCCTCAGGAGAAGCCAACGCTGCCAACACCTTCATCTCAGATTTCTTAGCTTCCAGAACTGTGAGACGACGCATATTTATTGTTTAAGCCATGCAGTCCGAGGTGCTTTATTGTAGCAGCTAAGCCAAACTGAGCCATCTCCCTCCAGCAATCCACGCACGTTCCAGCGGCTCCGCACCTTCTCCAAGTGATTCTTCCATTTTTTGCCAACTGGGTGGAGGTGAAAGATATCTCATGGTGGTTTGAAGCTGCGTTTCTCCGATTATTGATGACGCTGATCATAGATGGTATTTTCATTTGTTTATGAGTCACTCGTGTTCCTTCTTAGAAATGCCTGCGCATGTTGTTTGAGACTTTTGCGTTACTTTTTAGGAGTTCATATATCCTAGGTACTAACCCACTGACGGGTATGTGTATTGAGAATATCTTCTCCAAGTTCATGCCTAGTCTTTTTGCCCTCTTTACGCGCTTTCTTTTTTATTATACTTTAAGTTTTAGGGTACATGTGCACAACATGCAGGTTTGTTACATATGTATACATGCTCTTTACGCACTTTTTGATGAACAGAAGCTCTGTCGCCTAGGCTGGAGTGCAATGGCACAATCTTGGCTCACTGCAACCTCCGCCTCCCAGGTTCCAGCGATTCTCCTGCCTTGCCTTCCCAAGTAACTGGGAATATAGGCACCTGCCACCATGCCTGACTAATTTTTGTATTTTGAGTAGAGACTGGGTTTCGCTATATTGGCCAGGCTGGTCTCGAACTCCTAACCTCAAGTGATCCACCCGCCTTGGCCTCCCAAAGTGCTGGGATTACAGGTGTGAGCCACCACACTGCCCAGCTAATTCCACAGCCTTAATTGACTACGGTTCTGTCATAAGTCTTGTTCTCCAGAGTGTGGCCCTTGCCTGAGTATTTCCTTTGGGGAAGAAGAGGTCTAGACTAGCAGTCCCCAACCTTTTTGGCACCAGGGACCAGTTTCATGGAAGACAATTTTTCTACAGAGGAGGGTGGGGGATGGTTTTGGGGTGGTTCCAGTGCATTACATTTATTGTGCACTTTATTTCTATTATTATTGCATTGTAATATGTGAGGAAATAATTCTACAACTCGCCATAGTGTAGAATCAGTGGAAGCCCTGAGCTTGTTTTCCTGCAACTACATGGTCCCATCTCGGGTGATGGGAGACAGTGACAGATCATCAGGCATTAGATTCTCCTAAGGAGCACGCAACCTAGATCCCTGGCATGCACAGTTCACAATAGGGCTCTTGCTCTTATGAGAATCTGATGCCACTGCTGATCTGACAGGAGGCAGAGCTCAGGTGGTAATGAGAGTGATGAGGCGCGGCTGTCAGTACAGATGAAGCTTCACCCAGTCACCTGCCACTCACCCCATGCTGTGAGGCTCTGTTCCTAACAGGCCACAGAGCAGTGCCAGGGGTTGGGGACCCTTTGTCTAGATTATTCTTGGCACTTTTCCCTTCTATTTTAAATTTGAGATTCGTCTTGTCCAATTTCAGAAAAAATTCTTATTGAAACTTCAAAAGAAATTACATTAAAACTATAAGTCAGTTAAGAACGGACATCTTTATGACATTAAGTATTTCTTTTTATATACATGGTATCTGTTTGAGCTTTCTCCATAAAAGTCTTTTATAGATGTATCCTTAGTACCCTATTTTTTGTCATTGTTACTTTTTTTTTATTTCTTTACATAAAACTGAATTTCTGTTTGTTGCTGGTGTAGAGAAACACAGTTGACATTGTGTATTGATTCTGCCAGAAAACTTGCTAACTATCTTATATATTCTAGTAATTCTTGTATTAGGGTTCTCTAGAGGGACAGAACTAATAAGATAGAAATATATTCAACGGGGAGTATATTAAGGATGCTGACTCACACGATCACAAGGTGAAGTCCCACAACAGGCGTCTGCAAGCTGAGGAGCAAGGAAGCCAGTCCCAGTCCCAAAACCTCAAAAGTAGGGAAGCCAACAGCGCAGCGCAGCCTTCAGTCTGTGGCTGAAGGCCCGAGATCCCCCGGCAGATCGCTGGTGTGAGCCCGAGTCTAGAAGCTGAAGAACTTGGAGTCCAATGTTGGAGGGCGCAACGGGCTCTGCTGCGCAGCGTGGGGCACCTTGCAAGGCCCCCAGGAGTGACTTCTGGATTTCCTGGGCAACTCCAGACACGGGGAGGAGCCGCCAACCCCTGCAGCCAACTCTCAACGCATCTCAGAATTAAAGGGAAAGAATGACACCCCCACAGCCATCAAAACCGAAGTCCTTGTTTCCTCCCCTGGCTGGATGCCGGGGGTTGGAGAAAGCCCGCCTTGGCAGCCGTGGCGGGATCTGTGATGCAGGCAGGGCCCTCCAGGCCCCGTGCAGGTTTCATCACCTGCGGTGCGCACCTTCCCGAAAGGGTGGCGTGTGGTCAGGGGTCTGTGCGGAGACCTCCTGGCTCTCCCCACACGCGGTAGGTATTCATGCAGCCGCGTCACGCGGAGGCCCCACTCCGTGCGGCCAACACAGGGTCTTCCAGCCCCTCCTTCCCTGGCTATGTGACTTGTAGCCTCATTCTGGGAACCTTCCCCAGCTACGTGACTTATACCTTGATTCTGGGAACCACAGAGTTCAGACCTTGGTGCTGAAATGGGAGACGTCCCCCCTGCCCCCCGCAACACCCCACCCCGTTCCTCACCCACCACCCTCGACACTGGGCTTTTCTCAGAATCCAGAAAGCCCAGGGTACCCTCTGCACGCGATCACCTGCCCTCAGTGGCCGCAGCAAGCTGAAGTGTCCCTTCCCCCTTTTCCTGCCCGACGCCTGCAGAACCAGGACGGAGCGGCCCTCTTGGACGCCTTCTTCACCTCAGGGCCCTCCCAAAAAACAGTTTCCAGAGTTTCCCAGACGTACCCTTCGCTAACCCATGCTCTCTCCCATTCTCCATGCAAGAAAAGAGTGAGACCTCCTTTTCTGGAAATTTCTAAAAATAGGTGAGAAGTGCATCTATTAGAGCTGGAGGACTGGGGACTGCCCAGAGAAACGTCTCCTCCAGCCAGCGCTGTCCGCTGCCCCAGTCAGTCCCCCGCTGAGTGGTCTGAGTGGCGCTGGTCATCTCAACAGGGTGGACCGGCCACCAGCCATGCCCCTAGGTCACGATGGCCCTGGGCACTTTGACATTTTCCCCACCCGGCTAAAATTAAGATTGAACTGCCCTGGGAATAGGGCCCACGTGCTGTGCTTGCAGGGACCCATGGGTTGTGTTGTCTTCTCTGAGACCATAGATGGAACACTCCAGATGCTCTCTAGGCCATCTGGAATGTTCCTTGAGTTTCCGTGGGCCCGTTGGGGAGCAACATAGTTGGGCATGGTGGTGCATGCCTGTCATCCCAACTACTTGGGAGGCTGAGGCGGGAAGATAATTTGAGCCCAGGAGTTTGGGGCTGAAATGAGCTATGATCACACCACTGCACTCCAGCCTGGGTGAAAGTGAGACCCTGTCTCATATACATGCATATATACCTACATGCGTACATACATAGATGACCAATACCAGCTGAGTGCAGGGGCGGGCACTTGTCATCCCAGCTACTCAAGAGGCTGAAGAGGTTCACTTGAGCCCAGGAGGTCAAGGCTGCAGTGAGCTATGATTGCACCACTGCACTCCAGCCTAGGTGACAGAACGAGTCCCTGTCTTTAAAACATTTTTTTTAAGAAAGAGAGAAAGAAGGAGACATGGGAAATGGTTGGGGATACTTGAAAACCTTCCTGAAAAAAGTGAAGTCAAAGCTGAGCTTCAAGGACCAGCCAGATTTTTACCAGGGCAGGGGACAGCCCAAGCAAGGACGCAGGACCGGGAAGTACAGAAAGTGCTCAGGAAAGAGCAGAACTGCAAATATTAAAGCAAGAGAATCAGCAAGGGACTAGAGGGCAGCGGTCATTTGGGGGCCAGGTAGAAGAATACAGCACTGGAGGGGCTGAATTTGGGAAGCCATTGAGCGTTTTTGAGTAGGACTTGGCTGTGAGGGGTTTCTCAGGCAGCCCAACACCTGGAAACGGGCTCAATTCCTGCTTTCCCACTTACTAGCAACAAAGGAATGGAGTCATTATTACGGCTGCAAGGTGTCCCTGAAATTCACATATGCCAAGCCTCCTGGTCCTTTTCCACTAATGTAGGAAAAAAGAGAGAACTCAACAGCCTTATGAACAGTAATTGACTTCAGAGCCTTAATGTGAGCAGCATCAGAAGTTTCCACGCTGAGCCTCCCACGAATAAAGCATGACAAACTGCCCTGTTTCCTTCTCAAATGTGCTAACCAACAAATCAAACCTTGGGGTGAAGGACAGGTCACAGCTCTGCCCCTCTCTGAAATTCAGAAGCTGCTCCAGCAGGATTGAAGGAACCTGGGCTTCCCACGTCAACCTCTCAGCTTCTGTTCTCTCCCAGTATGGCTTCTATTGTGAGAACTGGGTCATCACAAAACCATCTGGAAATGCCTGCCAAGAAGGCTCCTTCCCCAGAGTACCCGCAGCAAGCCCAGGTGAAATGGAAGGCCTTCGAGATAGCACACAATGCTGTCTGCGGATAGTGATCAGACCCCAGAGAGGGTGGTCAGGCTAGTGCTGAAATGTCACATTACCCTGGCGCATGCCCATCCTCCTGTTTCAGTTACGAGATACTTTTTCACTTATTTAAAGATATCTGGCCAACGCCGCCCTACGACATCTCTTCAATGGGCAAGAAAAGGAAGACTACATGTTTACAAAATATATTTAAATATTTTTCCCCTGATCCAATGTTGATGGCTTTTTTCAAATAATTAACTGAAAACTATTTTGCTAAAAAAAATCATAGTGTGTTATTCCAGCACTGTCTTGTTTTGTTTTGTTTTTTTGAGAAGGAATCTCACTCTGTGGCCCAGGCTGGAGTGCAATTGCATGATCTCAGCTCACTGCACCTTCCACCTCCTGGGTTCAAGCAATTCTCCTGCCTCAGCCTCCCAAGTAGCTGGGATTACAGGCGCCCGCCACCATACCCAGCTAATTTTTGTATTTTTAGTAGAGACGCGGTTTCACTATGTTGGCCAGGCTGGTCTCGAACTCCTGACTTCAAGTGATCCGCCTGCCTCAGCCTCCCAAAGTGCTGGGATTACAGGAGTGAGCCACCATGCCCAGCCGTAACCTGAATTTTATTAATGTACCAAAGGAACTTACTACGGAAAGGTACCTTTTAGCAAATGCATTTATGAAATGAAGAATTATTTTGCCCTCTTAGAAACACTTCAAACATTTGTGTTTTCTTAGAACAACTTTTAATGCAATGTAAGCTAGAATGACTTCTTCATTCTGTAATTCCACTTATTAAATTAGATGACTTCTTGCTCATATGTCATATTGCATGCTAGCGTCAGATCTTAATTGCTTAGCCTGTTCAATTGCTGACTCTAACCTGGCCTGTTCCTCTTTGGAGCTCGTAAACACTTCTTCCCGGGAGAGGAAGGACAACAGAAAGTCAATGAAAATTAGAGTTAATTTTGTTATTTTTAGTAGATTTTGGAAACGGACTGATGAAAGATGAAGCTCAAACCGATTATGGAATTATGTCTGTGTATCAATTATCCCTGCTCTCCTGACATAGTTGCTTGAAAATGGGCACATGGAAAAACCCCATTGAGAATAATTATTCCCCCAGCATAACACACGGTTTACAAGGATGGCCCATCTGCTCGGCCTGGGGGTGTCAGAGAGAGGAGCAGCCTGTATCCTGTGGCCAGGTCTGCCTCTCACCTGCACGGCCTCGACTTTCCTCTTTGTCACTCGTGACAGTTCTGGCTAAAGGCTTCCAAAGAAGACTGAAGAATGACATGAAGATGTGCAAAATGACGACGTCTGTGTAGTATGCGTCCCGTGGCATGATCTCTTTGTGGCTTCTGAGTTTTGCTTGAATGTAGGGCTTTTGTCTGTCTCCAGCAGAGATGATGCTTTAATCTATGTCCGCTGTGCCCATGGCATTCTTCTATTTGGGGTTTTGTTGATACATGGAAGCACCGAATCTTTTCATACACATAAAACAGCACTTTGTAGTTGGCATTTAGTAATTCTTCATGGACACTTGAGAAAGATTTTGATGCTTTCCATCAAAATCTTGATGGATTTTTATGAAGTTTTCAACCTTTTGCTAGGAAACACAGCTTCTATTTTGCTATCATTCTCCCTGTAGCCCTTCCTCTTCGTATCTATCAGTTCTCTCTACTTAGATGAATATTTAATAAGGTGAGATTTCCACATTTCTAATGAGATTTCCACATTGCTCATGTTTATTACAATTCCTTAAACTCTCATAAAGGTTGTGCTTTTCCCCAATACTAATTTAATAACCTTGAAAATGGTCAACAATATGAGCACAAGTCCCCTAATGGGCTTTATAGAGAGCAAACTCATGGAAAAGGTACTGCTACACCAGGCAACCAGAAACTCATGAACAGCCCTGGTGAAAAGCAGACAGCAGTAGACCTAGAATGATCACTCTGCCACTCACTACATGAGTGAGACAGAGCAAAACATTGAATCCTTTTGAGCCTCAGTTTCCTCATCTGTGCAATGGGAATAACAACACCTTCCAAGGCTGTCGTGAGAATGAAACGTGCGTGAATCAGTTTTGTAGGCTATGAAATGGTATAAAGATACAAGGTGATATTATTTATACACCTGAAATGTGAGAAAGAGGGTGTCTAGGCTTTTTAAAGAGCTTAAGGAAGAGGACGGGGGCGGGGGCCTGAGACAGAAGATGATGAGCCCAAAGGGAAGGTGAGGAGCCAGCACTTAGTAATAGTAAACACATTTACCTCATGAGTTCTCTCACATATGTGGAGACTATGCACCTAATGCCACAGGGCAATGGCACGCACACGAATTTTTTTTTTTTTTTTTTTTTTTTGAGACTGAGTCTCGCTCTATCGCCCAGGCTGGAGTACAGTGGCATGATCTTTGCTCACTGCAACCTCCACCTCCCGGGTTCAAATGATTCTCATGCCTCAGCCTCCTGAGTAGCTGGGATTACAGGTGCCCACCACCACACCTGGCTAATTTTTGTATTTTTAGTAGAGATGAGTTTCACCATGTTAGCCAGGCTGGTCTCGAACTCCTGACCTCAAGTGATCCACCTGCCTGGGCCTCCCTAAGTGCTGGAGTTAACAGGCGTGAGCCGCTGCGCCCGGCCATGTACATGAATATATAATTCAAGCATCTCCATGATCTCCAACTTCTTTTTTTTTTTTTTTTTTGAGACGGAGTCTCACTCTGTTTCCCAGTCTGGAGTGCAGTGGCGCGATCTCGGCTCACTGTAAGCTCTGCCTCCTGATTCACGCCATTCTCCTGCCTCAGACTCCTGAGCAGCTGGGACCACAGGCGCCCGCCACCATGCCTGGCTAATTTTTTGTATTTTTAGTAGAGATGGGGTTTCACCGTGTTAGCCAAGATGGTCTCGATCTCCTGACCTCATGATCTGCCCGCCTCGGCCTCCCAAAGTGCTGTGATTACAGGCGTGAGCCACCGTGCCCAGCCGATCTCCAATTTCTGGAGGTCACTATTTTATTTAACATCAAAATAAAATGCCTTAAGTAGTTATAATAGGAGCATCTAGAACACTTGCTCCTATTTCTTTAACATATTCAGGAGCAAGGGGGTTTGCTTTCGTTGTTGTTGTTGTTGAGAGAGGGTCTCGGTCTGTCGCCCAGGCTGGAGTGCAATGGCACAAACACGGCTCACTGCAGCCTCGACCTCCCAGGCTCAAGCGATCCTTCCACCTCAGCCTCCCAAGTAGCTGGGACTACAGGCGTGTGCCAGCACTCCCAGCTAATTTTTGTAATTTTTGTTAGAGATGAGGTTTCGCCACATTGCCCAGGCTGGTCCCAAACTCCTGAGCTCATGCAGTCTACCCACCTTGGCCTCTCAATGTGCTGGGATTACAGGAATGAGCCACCGCACCCAGCTGGCTTTGTTTTCTTACTCATAATCACTGACTTCTCTGCATTCCTCCAAACCGTCACGCCCAGCTCTATTTCAGCCTCTACTTGCTTTCCTGGAAATGACAGGATGCGACCCCAACAGCTGCTAACACCAGGCTGGTGTCACTGAAGTTCAGGGAGCGCTGAATGTCCACACAATTTGCAAACACTTCAAAGTGAACGCCCGACATCATCAGCCCGTTAACGTCCAGGCCATGTCCCACATAGAGAACGCTTTACTTCCACGTCTCTCCATACGTAGGTCCTGGTCTCCTATCACATTGCCACGTAGCCCTCCCTTCCCTTCCCCCTACAGGCCCTCTTCAGGGCCCCAGTCCCCCTCTGAGACTCCCATGGATCATTCCTGTTTCTGTATCAGGCAGTGATTTAACTCCTTTTTTGTTTATACTCTCCCATCTCAAGCACTCCGAAAAGAGAACCTGGCCTTTCACAATGAAATAGAGGTGATGGATGGATGAACGCATTTAATAAGTGAGATGCCCGGCAGATGGTTTCAAACAAGGTTCCCGAGTGGAACCAGAGTCAGTGCTCAGCTTGTTAAACAAAACAAATAATGCCCAGCGGTGGTGATTTTTCAGGTCATCATCATCGAGGTAATATTTGAGGCCAGGGTGATGAATGCTTTTGCCCAAGGAGAGCTGTCTGAACCCTGGGCTGAAGATTCAAGTTTGGGAAAAATACTTACATTTAATGGATGATCCAAACAGCCAGATGCCTGAGAAGTGGATAAGACTTACGAGAATACAGCTTTAGAATCGTGGTGGGAATAGAACCGAGACACCAGGCATTTAGAAAATAAATGGGGGATGAGATAGTGAAGGCAATAAATAGATTTGGCCTGCTACAATCTCACGTGAACCATTTTGAAAGTCAGTAAGCATTTTAAGAAAAGCCAAGAAAGAAAAAAACTCTCTTTTTCTTATTGCTTTATATTCCCATAACTGGTTTATTCTGGACTCTCAACTTAATGGGGCAAAAACATGAAATGGTTTTATTGCCGTCAGTATCTGTCCCAATGCTTCTTCGTTGAATTTCCATTTTCCACAGAGTGGCAGTACATCAGTGATCAGATGGGCCAGATTTAATAATTTTTCTAACATCTCACATTTTTTACTTAATAAGCAAATTAAATTAGACTAGCCTAATAACCAGTCTCGTTTTTATAGCTAAGATGCAGCCCTATTTTTTTTTTTTTTTTGAGAGGGAGTCTCACTGTGTCACCCAGGCTGAAGTGTAATGGTGCGATCTCTGCTCACTGTAACCTCCACCTCCTGGGTTCAAGCGATTCTCCTGCCTCAGCCTCCCCAGTAGCTGGGATTACAGGCGCCTGCCACCATGCCTAATTTTGTATTTTTAGTAGAAACGGGGTTTCACCATGTTGGTCAGGCTGGTCTTGTAATCCTGACCTCAAGTGATCCACCTGCCTCAGCCTCCCAAAGTGCTGGGATTACAGGCGTGAGTCACTGTGCCCAGCCCCTACTTTTTTTTAAAAAAAAAAGGAAAATAACAAATGTTGGCAAAGAAGTGGAGAAGCTGGGACCTTCATACATTGCTGGTGGGAATATCAGATAGTGCAACCACTGTGGAAGACAGTATGGTGGTTTCCCAAAAAGTTCAACATAGAATTATTATAGAATTAGCATAGAATTCAGCAATTCTTCTTCTGGGTGAATACCCCAAACCACTGAAAGCAGGGACTCAAACAGATATTTGCACACTTGTGTTCATAGCAGCATTATTCACAATACCAAAAGGTGGACACAACTGCAATGTCCGTTGGCAGATGAATGGATAAACAAAATGTGATCTATGCAGACAGTGGAATAGTATCCAGCTTTAAAACATGAGATCCTGCTACATGTTACAGTACGAATGAACCTTGAAAACATTAGGCTAAGTGAAAGAAGCCAGTCACAGGCCAGGTGCAGTGGCTCACGCCTGTAATCCCAGCTCTTTGGGAGGCCAAGGTGGGAGGATCACTTGAGGTCAGGAGTTCAAGGCCAGCCTGGCCAACATGGCAAAACCCCATCTCTACTGAAAATACAAAAATTAGCCAGGCATGGTGGCAGGCACCTGTAATCCCAGCTACTCAGGAGGCTGAGGCAGGGGAATCGCTTGAACCCGGGAGGCAGAGGTTGTAGTGAGCCGAGATTGTGCCACTGCACTCTAGCCCTGGTAACAGAGCAAGACTCCATCTCAAAAAAAAAAAAAGAAGAAGAAGAAGAAAAAGCAGCCAGTCACAAAAGGATAAATTGCCTAAAATAGGCAAATTCATAGACAAAGTAGAATGGTGGATGTCAGGGGCTGGCAGAGGGGAGAATGGGGAGTTACTGTTTAACTGGTGCAGAGCTTCAGCTGGGGAAGTTGAAAAAGTCCTAGAGATGGGTGGTGACGATGGTCGCACAACATTTTGAATGCACTCAATGCCACTGAATTGTACCCTGAAACACAGTTAAAATAGTACATTCTATGTTATGTATATTTTACCACAATAAAACAAATTTTAAAAATTCAGTCCTAGGCATTTGAGAGCTTCCATTTCAAACTCAACTGCCCGCCCATCAGCCCCTCACCTTCTCACTCTGCCCCTCGCACCAGAACTTTCTGTGCCCTTCCATGTAGAGACTTGGGAAGTGAAGGGTCCCCTTCCATTGCTTTGGAGGGACTTGGAGAACTGGGGTGGGTAGAGTTGTCCCATCGTCTTCCCAGACTCACTGAGCTTCCAGTGCTTCAAACCTCAAAGGAGCAGATCACTCCGGTGAACTCCACAGCCTGGCGACAGGCACAAGTGTCACAGGTCTACCCCTAACCTCAGTGCGAGAGGGACAGAACCAGATGTGGCACCATCCTCCTGGATCCCAGAGCACTCACGCTGACGCCTCTTACCAGGCCCAGCTCTGTGTGGCCTGGGAACATCTGTGTCATCTGTATCTTAGCAAGAGTCCAGCTGGAGAGAGATGCTGAGAGCCCCATCTTGCTGAACTCTTTATGAGTGATTGTCTCAGGACACGCCTCCTTACTTAGCTTCAGGGATCAAAGGGACCCCTTCTCCTTTGTGATAGGAAGAATTCTAAGACAGTCTCCACGATCCCCACTCCCCACCCTGTATAATCATGTAATCCTTCCTCTTGAGTATGGATGGAGCCTGTAAATATCCGTAATGGAGCTTGCTTCCGTGATAATATTACATCACCTGGCCAAGGGATAGCGCGGATGTGAAGTCCTAATCAGCTGACTGTGTGACCATCAGAAGGGAGACTGCCCTGGGTAGATGGACAAGGAGGAATACCTCCTTCCCAGCTCCTGTCACCAGGAACACTGACTGTACCTCCACATGGCTTAGGACCCAAAAACCTCCTTAGTTTGGAAATGAGGGTGGGGTTGGGGTGTCATTGGTGGTAGAGTCAGTTCAGGCCTGCCGACCTCAGGAAGCCCTAGGATGTGGTGAGCTCCTGGTGACATCTTGAACTTGGACTGTAAGAGCTAATGAGAACCTTTGGCCCTGAGGTTTGGTCCTATGTTGCAATTTTAGGACAACAGGAAAAATCCCACTTAACATTTTATGACGGGCAGTGGATGGCAGCGTTTGGTGTGTTTCTCCCTTCTTTTCCTGTTGTGGTTCTCTGTAGGAAGAGTTTTGTTTTTTTTTAAATCCTACTTACCAATTTAGAAATTGAAATAAGATATGTTAAGTGTTTCCGGGAATTGTCAGTAAGGGTCCTCCATCGTCCCCTCCACCAATATCGCAACACGGAAATACAGCGGAGACTGAGTACCTGAGAGCCTGCTCATAACTAAGGTGCTCTGCCCAGAACCCGGCGCTGGATCTGTAAAGCTCAGGGACACACCTAGGTCTGCTGCCACACTAAGTGGGCAGCTCTCCTGCTGCTGATCCCCTCTGTCCTGACCCTACAAGTGGGATAAAGAGCTCAACTCAGAATTCAGAATTCAGGAAATGAACACCCTTCAGTTCAGGGGCAGATGGGAAAGGAAGTTATGTCATGAGTCACCACTGAATTCATTGTATGGAAAAATTAGAAATCTGGTATTATGAAATACCCGAACTGAAAAGGCTCGACAACAATAAACTTCCCAGAAGGGTAACACCAGCTCCCAGCGTGCGCCAGGTCCTCTCCGCACGGTGCCCATCTTCCCTTTCCGATGGGCCGCCTCCTATGTCTGTAACACAAACAGAAGTGGGTTTCAGTGGGGACCCCTGCTGTTACCTGGCACTCACCTGAGGCCAATGTCACTCATATTCAAATCTCCTGAAAACAAAGTTCACCCGCAAAGCACTCGGGGAGAATGTAGGTTTTACTGGAGGTTTGGCGGGAAGCTGGAGGTTAAAGGATGCCTTACCTAGGAAACTTCCTGAAGCTCTTCTTTAAAAGAAAGCCTTGGCCAGGCGCGGTGGCTCACACCTGTAATCCCAGCAGTCTGGGAGGCCGAGGTGGGTGGATCACCTGAGGTCAGGAGTTCAAGACCAGCCTGGCCAACATGGTGAAACTTCATCTCTACTAAAAATACAAAAATTGGCCAGGCGTGGTGGTGCGTGGCTGTAATCCCAGCTACTTGGGAGACTGAGGCAGGAGAATTGCTCCAACCCAGGAGGCAGAGGTTGCAGTGAGCCAAGATCGCGCCACTGCACTCCAGCCTGGGGGACAGAGTGAGACTTCATCTCAATCAATCAATCAATAAAAGCCTCGCTTTCTCTCTGCAGCTGCCTTACCTTGATCTCCCCACATACTGCAGGGTTCCCAAGCCAGTTTCAACATCCTGCCAGAGTGGCCTACTCCATCTGCAAACCAAAAACTAGCCAGAGGTCAGCAGAAGCAAAACACATAGTCCTCAGCAAAATTTTAACTGCAGTCACTTCTCAGGCTTATCTTTAGGGAAATCATCCTACCTGTTGCTTCATTTGCAGAATCACTTATATTCTATCTGTGGATTAATTAATTGTTAGCCATGAATGGCTTCCCATCTGATTCTTGCCTGTAGCCCCCAACCCCTCCTGGACTATAAGTTCCATGCAGGCAAGGGAGTTTATCTCTGCTGTTCATGGTGGCATCTCTCGGACCTTATGCACAAACAGCACAGAACAGACCACAATTTTTTTTTTTTTTTTTTTTTTTTTTTTTTTTAGAAAGACTCTCACTCTTGTTACCCAGGCTGGGGTGCAGTGGCACGATCTTGGCTCACTGCAACCTCTGATTCCTGGGTTCAAGTGATTCTCCTGCCTCAGCCTCCCAAGTGGCTGGGATTACAGGCATGCATCACCACACCCAGCTAATTTTTTTTTTTTTTTTTTTTTAAGTAGAGACAGGGTTTCACCATGTTGGGCAGGCTGGTCTCAAACTCCTGGCCTCAAGTGATCCACCCACCTTGGCTTCCCAAAGTGCTGAGATTACAGTCATGAGCCACCATGATTGTCCTCACAAATCATTTTTGAATGAAGAATAAATGGGTGCCATACACCCTCTGGCCCTGTTTGGATCTCAGTCACTTGCAGTTCCTAAAGTTTGCACAAACAACACTTATTTCTTACCAGACACCATTTGGAGACCTGCTTCTCTTTCAGAACCCTTATCATTAACCTTAGACATCACTACTGTTTTCTTCCACAGTCAAACAAAACAAGAAATGTGTTTCTCTTTCAAAATATAGGCCTGGAATATGGACAAGGCGGCACATCACTCCTGCTGGGTGTGTGAAACTAGTTTGTTATCTTTTTATAGCTTTTCTCTAAACTTGTCACCAAAAAGTCTCCAGGTCATAATTTCCTCATCTGTAGAAATAGAATAACTTTTAACTTTCTTTCTTTTTTTTTTTTTTTTTTTTTGAGACGGAGTCTCGCTCTGTTGCGCAGGCTGGAGTGCAGTAGACAGTGGTACGATCTCGGCTCACTGCCACCTCCACCTCCTAGGTTCAAGTGACTCTCCTGCCTCAGCCTCCAGAGTAGCTGGGATTACAGGCGCCCACCACTATGCCTGGCTGATTTTTGTGTTTTTAATAGGAACGGGGTTTCTCCATGTTGGCCAGGCTGGTCTCGAACTCTTGACCTCAGGTTATCCTCCTGCCTCGGCCTCCTAAGGTGCTAGGATTATAGGCGTGAGCCACCTTACCTGATCTTTTTTTTTTTTTTTGATCAGGAAACTTCACTAACAAGTTGTCCCTGAGATGCATCAATCTCCTCTTCCTTCCATACACCTATCAAATATTTATTGAAACTTTGTGGACGGGCATGGTGCCACTCGCCTGTAATCCCAGCTATTCAGGAGGCTGAGGTGGGAGGACCACCTAAGCCAAGGGGACAGAGGTTGCAGTGAACCATGATCCCACCACTGCACTCCAGCTTGGGGCACAGAGTGAGACTTTGCCAAAAAAAAAAAAAAAAAGTTTGATATAAGCCAGATTCTATGTTGTGCACACTGGCATTTACTGTCTCATCTAAAAAAATGAAATATATTAGTGTTTGTTCATTATAAAAAGAATATGAGGCCAGAGTGGTGGCTCACGCCTGGAATCCCAGCACTTTGGGAAGCCAAGGTGGGCGGATTACCTGAGGTCAGGAGTTCAAGACCAGCTTGACCAACATGGTGAAACCCCGTCTCTACTAAAAATACAAAATTAGCTGGGTGTGGTGGTGCATGCCTGTAATCCCAGCTACTTGGGAGGCTGAGGCAGGAGAATTGCTGGAACCTGGGGGGCAGAGGTTGCAGTGAGCCGAGATCACACCATTGTATGCCAGCCTGGGCAACAAGAGCGAAACTCTGTGTCAAAAGAAAAAAAAGAAAGAATATGAAGTTACAAAAGGAAGTTTGAAACATATACAATGCTATAAATAAGAATTACACATAATTACATCCAGAAAGAGTAACTGTTATCCTTTTAATATATTTCTGTCTGGGTTTTCTGTATATACATGCATTTTCCATAGCTGAAGTAATAATTTACATACAATTTTGAAATGTTCTTTTTTCTCTCTTAACAATATATTTAGGTATTTTCCTGTAGTTCATAAAAAATTCCTTTTTTTTTTTTTTTGAGACAGAGTTTCACTCTGTCGCCCAGGCTGGAGTGCAGTGGCGCAATCTCAGCTCACTGCAACCTCCTCCTCCCAGGTTCTAGAGATTTTCCTGTCTCAGCCTTGCAAGTAACTGGGACTACAGGCACCTGCCACCACACCTGGCTAAATTTTGTATTTTTACTAGAGATGGGGTTTCACCATGTTGGCCAGGCTGGTCTTGAATTCCTGACCTCAGGTGATCTGCCCGCCTCAGCCTCCCAAAGTGCTGGGATTACAAGTGTGAGTCACCGCACCTGGCCAAAAAAAAAAAAAAAAAAAAATTCCTCATTTTTAACAGCTGCATAATATTTATTTAAACTTCTCCCTGATTTGGGGTATTTTGGTTGTTTCTAATTTCCTGACAGTATGGAAAAGGGAGACAGTGTGTACATATCTTTAAGCATAAATCTTTGTGGTTATTTTTTATTTTTTCCGTAGAAGCCCTAGATATGGAATTATAGGGTCAAAACACATAAACATTTTAAGCTCTTGAAATATTTTACAAAATTGCTTTTCAGTTGTTATATCAACTTATGTTCCCACTAATTGTATTTAAAATTGCCCACTGGAGCCGGGTTCAGTGGCTCATGACTGTAATCCCAGCATTTTGGGAGGCCGAGGCGGGTGGATCACGAGGTCAGGAGATGGAGACCATCCTGGCTAACATGGTGAAACCCCATCTCTACTAAAAATACAAAAAATTAGCCGGGCGTGGCGGCACGTGCCTGTAGTCCCAGCTACTCCAGAGGCTGAGGCAGGAGAATCACTTGAACTTGAGAGGCGGAGGCTGCAGTGAGCCAAGATCGTGCCACTGGACTCCAGCCTGGGAGACAGAGTGAGACTCCATCTAAGAATAAATAAATAAAATTGCCCATTGGCTAGACATGGTGGCTCATACCTGTAATCCCAGCACTTTGGGAGGTCGAGGTGGGTGGATCGGTTGAGGTTAGGAGTTCGAGACCAGCTTAGCCAACATGGTGAAACCCCATCTCTACTAAAAATACAAAAAATTAGCCGGGCGTGGTGGTGCACGCCTGTAGTCCCAGTTACTCAGGAGGCTGAGACAGGAGAATCGCTTGAACCTGGGAGGCTGAGGTTGTAGTGAGCTGAGATAGCACTACTGCGCTGCAGCCTGGGGGACAGAGCAAGACTCCATCTCTAAATAAATAAATAAATAAAATTGCCCATTTCTTTGCACTCCTGCCAGCATTGAATATTAGAACCTGAAATATATTTTCTAATTTATAAGGTGAGAATATTGTGTATTATTTAACATTTTTATTTTTTAAATTACTAGGTAACCTAAACCCTTTAAAATATAATAACACACACTTACACAGATATACGCATGGCTAATTACTAACCACTTTAATTTTCTCTTTAAGGAAATTTTCCCACAGACTTATTAGGGTTTTCTTATTAATCTGTGTGTACTCCTAAAGATGCAATTAAATCTTGGATTTGTTATGCAGAGTTCTGTCATTTCAGATTTTTTTTTGTCTTTTAGAATTCTGTTTGCAATATTTTTAGTTACCAGAATTTTAAAAATTTTTATGTAATCTAATCTAATGGTCATTTCCTTCCTGAGTATTCTGTTTCTTTTCTTTCCTCACCTTGAGATCACATAAATATTTGCCTATATGTTCCCCTAATTTTAAAATTTTTTTTTGTTTTTTTGAGACAGGATCTCTCTCTGCCTCCAACCTGGAGTGCAGTGGCGCAATCACAGCTCACTGCAGCCTCAACGCCCCCAGGCTTAGGTGATCCTCCCATCTCAGCCTTGTGAGCTGCTGGGACTAAAGGCATGCACTACCACATCTGGGTAATTTTTGTATTTTTTTGTGGAGACGGGGGTCTCATTATGTTGCTCAAGCTGGTCTTGAAATTCTGGGCTCAAGCAATCCTCCTGCCTCAGCCTCCCAAAGTGCTGGGATTACAGGTGTGAGACACCACGCTAGACCTTAAAATTATTTAATGTAGCTAGAACATCTTTCAGCATATAATGACAGGTAAGGGCTTAACTTGATTATCTTTTCAAATTACTACGTTTCTTACCTCCATTTATTGAGACTCCATCTCTTTTTCATTTATTTTTGATGACTTTTATCACATATGAAAGTGTACACTACCTTTTCCTGGGTTATATTGTTCTATTATGATACATTTCATCAGTAAAGCCTTAGACTATGTTTCAATAATAAATAGGTCAATTGCCCATATTTTTCTTCATTTTCTTAATTTTGTTAACTTTTCTCACCTATCATTTGTTCAATTTGTTCAGATACACTTTAAAATACTTTCATTTTAGCCTTACAGGGTAGGCGTTAATAGCCTCATTATATAGATGAGGAACTGAGGCTCAAAAAGGATAAACAGCTTGAGGTAATAACAAATCATGTCTTTTACATCTCCCCTGTCAGATCCAAACTGCTGTCGATTTTTTAGTAAAGTTATGAAATTTTCTTACCTTTCTTTCTCCTTTCCTGTCTGCCTCCCTCTAGTGGTCATGATATATATTACAATATAGTACAGTTTCTGAAGTCTATTTATTTATTTATTTATTTTTGAGACGGAGTCTCGCTCTGTTGCCCAGGCTGGAGTGCAGTGGCGCGATCTCTGCTCACTGCAAGCTCCGCCTCCCGGGTTCACGCCATTCTCCTGCCTCAGCCTCCGGAGTAGCTGGGACTACAAGGCGCCCGCCACCACGCCTGGCTAATTTTTTGTATTTTTAGTAGAGATGGGGTTCACCGTGTTAGCCAGGATGGTCTCGATCTCCTGACCTCGTGATCCACCCGCCTCGGCCTCCCAAAGTGCTGGGATTACAGGCATGAGCCACTGCGCCTGGCTCTGAAGTCAATTTTATACAGTAATTAATATACTCCTTTATAACATGAAAAGACATAGCTTTTCTTTTTAGCTTACTTTAAAATTCTTAACCTATATAAAGTTCATTAATATTTCTTTAATATTTGGGGGTCATGTATTATCAGGATTTTCTTAGCAAAGACCAGCCTCAGAAAACATTTATGAAAAAGTCAAGTGACATTACAGTGAAATTTTAAAAATTTCATAAGTTTTAAAACTGTAACAATACAAAGACCCTCCAGATATTTCTTTGTTCATTTCTTTTCCTATGGACATTATCTAAGTACTTTCATAAATAACTATCTTTATTTAGTTATTTTTGAGACAGACCCTGTCACCTAGTCTGGAGTGCAGTGGCGCAATCTCGGCTCACTGCAACCTCCACCTCCTGGGTTCAAGCAACTCTCCTAGCTCAGCCTCCTGAGTAGCTGGTATTACAGGCATGTGCCACCACGCCCAGCTAATTTTTGTATTTTTGGTAGAGATGGGATTTCGCCATGTTGGCCAGGCTAGTCTCGAACTCCTGACCTCGGGTGATCCGCTTACCTTGGCTTCCCAAAGTGATGGGATTACAGGCATGAGCCACCGGGCCTGGCCAAATAACCATCTTTAAATTTCCCCCTGTAAACCATTTCTTTTCCTCTGACCTGGCTTCACTGTCCTTTCTCACTTTTTAGTCCCTTTGTGCATTCAGTTGTCATAAAGGTGCATAGGCCAGGGGGACATCAGGGCAGTGGACCAGCCTGAGCTAACTTTCTGGCCAGGTCTGTGCCAGGCCACAGGAGGGCCACCTGATCATAATTCCCATAAAGATTTAGGACATGCTAGCAGGGGCTGGCCTCACATCCCTAACTGCCTGTTGGTTGAAGCCTTCTCAGTCTCATTTTCTTCCTTGTTTATTTTCTGCTTCTATTTTTCTGCCTTTTTCTTTTCCCCTTCTTCCTTGCCAACCCCATCATCCTTCAATCTCATCCCTCTCATTTCTTTTTCAACTGTAAGAAAAGGCACCATAAAAGTTTAACCAAGCAAAAAGAATAATAAAAAGAAAAATAATTCTAGGAAGCATTTATCAACATTTATCAAAATTATCATTTATCAAAATCAAGGGAAAGTTTTTTTTTTCTCTTGATCTGATTTCCTTAAAGGGCCGGGCGTGGTGGCTCATGCCTTTAATCCCAGCACTTTGAGCGGCCCAGGGGAGAGGATCACTTGAGCCCAGAAGTTTGGGACTACCGTGAGAATTAGACCCTGTCTCTACAAAAAGAAAAATAAAAAATTAGCCAGGCATAATGGTTCGTGCCTGGAGTCCCAGCTTGGGAGGCTGAGGCAGGAGAATCACTTGAGCCCAGGAGTTGGAGGCTGCAGTAAGCTACAATTTCACCACTGCACTCTAGCCTGGGCAACAGAACCAGGCCCTGTCTCAAAAAATAAAATAAAATGAATTCCTTAAAGACAGCAGCTGCTATATTACCTGTCACCTATAGGTAGATGTTTAATATTACCATTTATTATGTCACTTCATGATAAATGCGTTCATATTTAACACAACATGAGACAAAAATGTAAGAGGGAAAATAAAAGAACATAACCAGAAAGCTTAGGTTTATTATTCACTGAGGATTAAGGATTGTCAGAGTTGATTGTCTCCTGGATTTTGTTCAGAAAGAGAGGATAATAATACTGACCCAATTAAGTAGCATGTTGGGTAGATTAAAGTGCTTTGTAAACATTAATTAAAGATGCAGGGAGTTAGGTGAGGCCAATGTGTTATTAGAGGAAAAGTTTTCTTCCCTTTAATCAGGTATCTCTTTCTGGGGAGGGCAAAGAAATGACCTCAGGACTAAGGCATTGGGGCTCAACCCTGAGTGGGGCCAGTGACTCAGTCATTCTGTGCAACCATTTCCTTCTTAGTTTTCTGTAAAATGGGAAGCAACACAAACATTTTGGGAATCTAGGTTGTTACAACGTTTGTCATTTGAGTATATAACAAATCCTACAATTAATACAACCCCATAACTCTTGCTTTCTCCCTGCCTACTGAGTTAAACCCAGTAACATTAACTTCCACCAACTTACAAAAGCCTTCCGCAACCAGCTATTAACCTTCGGAGATATTTCCACGGTGATAGCCTGAAGAAGAAAATGCAACGAGCCATGGGGTCAAAAATTCTCCCATGAGTTTCTTCAGCTGTCTGAACCTCAGCTTTCCTGCTCTGTAAAATGGGGTTAAGAAACCAGAAAACCATTTTAAGGATTAGATGAAATAATGTATGTGGTGTATGCACATTAAATGCTGTGTCTGAGGGTACAGGTATGCAATAAGTTGCATCAGCATTATTAAGTATAAAATAGCCTCTCAAAGCTGACCATAATAAAAAACAAAAGAAAAAATTAAAGGCCAGGTGCAGTGGCTCAGGCCTGTAATCCCAGCACTTTGGGAGGCTGAAGTGAGAGGATCGCGTGAGCCCAGGAGTTCGAGACCAGCCTGGGCGATATAATGAGACCCCCCCCCCCACCCACCCATCTCTACAAAAAATTTTAAAATTAGCTGGGTGTGGTGGCATGCACCTGTGGTACCAGCTACTCGGGAGGCTGAGATGCGAGTATCACTTGAACTTGGGAGGTGGAGGTTGCAGTGAGCCAAGATGGTACAACGTGCACTCCAGCCTGGGCGACACAGCAAGACCCTGTCTCAATAAAAATTAGATTAAATTAATGTCCCATCTCTTGCAAGCTTCAGACACACATCCCTATTGCTTTTCTCCGCGTGGGTCGCTCGGCGATGGGGTTGGGGATTTTCACGGTGCTGTCCCCCAACTCGAACTTCACACCTTGACCGAGGACCCCCGGGAGGCGGCCGCGAGGTCCCCCAGCGCGGCGGGGCCCGGCCCTTTAAGCGCCGCGGGCGCGCGCAGTGCGTGCCTAAGGAGTGCGAGTTCGGGCGGCGCGAGCGCGCGGCGGCAGTAGAGCGCGCGCGGGTGGGCGCGCACAGGGAGAGCGCGCGGCGGGGCGTCCCGGAACAGTCTGCGCCAGACGGGCGGCGGCGTGAGGGCTCCGGGTCGCTGGCGGCGTGGACACCTGAGTCCCGGGGTAGGGGTCTCCCGCGAGGTGAGTGGGGCCCTAGGACTCCGGGCAGGGCTGGAGCGACGGGAGGGCGTCCTGGCGGCGGTGGCGGCGCTGGGCTCTGGCTGGGACGCCGGCGGGTCGGGCAGAGAGGGGGCGCCGGACCCTGCCTTGGCGCGCTCCTCGCTCTGACTAGGGGAGCCCGGCGCCGCCGCCGCAGAGGCCACCCGGTGCCCGACCCCCGACCCCGGGGCGTCGCTGCCTCCTCGGGGACCTCGGAGTCGGGGCGCGGCGGGGAGCGCGCTGGGTTCCGAGTCTGGGGCTATCCTGGGGGCTCAGGGGTGGAGGCGGGTTTCCCAGCCTTGGGCGCAGAGGGTCCCCGCTGTCCCCACCGTCCGTCCCCCAACCCGGGACCCCTGTCCTTTGCGCCGTGGGACCCCATGCGGCCTCGGGGAGAGGGTGCGGGTCCGACACGGCGGGCGGAGCCACCTGTTCCACCCGGGCCCCCAGGTCCTGGAATCACGCGGGGATGTGCAGGGTCTGCCCAGCCCAGCGCGGCGGGAGGGACTAAAATAGAGGAGAAAATGTGGCCCGTGTGATGAAATTGAACAAAAGGCAGTAAAATAAACTCCAGTATTTCTCCAAGGCTTTGAAAGTTTCCCAGTATTGTTTTACGGAGTCTAAATTTAAGCATGTAGTTGTTTGGTGTATTTTTTTTTTCCTTAACCACAGGAACTAACCTCAGAAAACTTTTAACTCTACCAGAACCTAGTGCGTGCAGAGCAGAAAAGTTAAAGTGAGTGAAGGAAAATGAGTGTGTGTGTGTTTTTCCACCCTAAACAGAGTAAAACGTTCAGATCTGTAGGAAGAAGGTTCTTTCTGGCTCCAATTTTAACGGAGAACATTTTTTAAAAATCGGTATTTCTGAAAGGTATCGAAAGACCAAACCAGGCGTACGTGGAAACTTGAGGGAAATACTCATAGGAGAAAACTTTATTAAAAATACTTTTTACATTATTTTTTAAAAACACTACATAAAAGTGCCCCAGCATGCACTAAAAAGTTTGCCCTCCAAGTTCCGTGTCTGAATGTTACTGATTGTTTTTCTAGGTGGAGGAGGTATTTTCGTTCATGAAGCCAATGTGGAAATACAAACAAATGCCCTATTGACTTGGGATTGGGTGGGAAGGATGGAAGTTGTCTAAAATCTTTCTTGCCAAAGTTGACAGCGTATGTATGGAATCTTGTGTGTTTTCTTGTCCAGACTAGTAATAGCCATGTTAAAGCGACTGGATTATATTCCTTGGTAACAGCACTTCAAATGAGCTTTCTTTGAAAATTTTAGATGCTGATGATTTAAAAGTAACACATTTTCTCCATTACTAGAAATCAGAAATCCAAAATTAGAGTGATATAGTGGAGCGAAGGCTGGAAAGAGGAGCGATGCTTTTAGGAAGGTCTGAGCGTGTTTGAATCTGTGGTTGCCGGGGGTGGGGGAGTTGCCCATTAATTCATTCAGGAATATTTGTAGACTGACCACCTACAGCGCGCAGAGCCGTGACTGGTCGTCCAGCATACAGTCATTTCTAGATAACAGCCACATGGCCCAAACTGATTAAAACCAGATCAAGCAAGCCTTCATCGGCAGCTGAAGAGATACCTGGCCTTGGTTCCAAAGTTCTTAGACACCCAAGGCGCCCAGAGTTGGCACTGTGTGTTGATTTGGAAGATCATCTCAGATAACTCCAGGAGTGGAGCCTGGAAACCTGAAGGGGGAGAGAGGAAGGGCCTGCGTAGAGCAGAGCTGAGAACAGGGGAGCCTCTAGAACTTAGAAGTTCAAGTGCATCTTATCTGCAGTGTTGTGGGGCAGCTGCCGGTGGCACAGAGGCCATTCGGGAGGTGCCAGGGGAATCCTAGGAGCATCCCAGAACCTGAGCTCTTTCCTTTGACGGTGAAGGCCATCGTTGCGTTTCACTTTCCTTTGCACTTGGTGGCTTGCTTCCTAGGTGCCTCTGTGCTCTAAGAAGAGGGCCTTGCAACTCCGCCCCTGATTGACTGCAGCCGTCCCCGCTCCACTCTGAGGGGTCTCCTGGCCACCATAGGAAAGCCTGTGTTCATGGAGGCACTGCCCTCTGCACGGGTTATGTCCAGCCAGTGGCATCAACAGCCTCTGTCTGCGGAACTCACAGTGAAGGTGCCGCTTTCCATAATGCCCTTGTCCCCTTTCTAGACTGGCAGCATTCATCTTGAAACCTAAGAGTATTTTAAGAAAGTTGGTGCTAGGTTTCTAATCTGTGCATTCAGGATTGGCAGGGAAGGACTGTATGGGGAGAGCATTCTGCCTTGTCGGACAGGGATGGGAGAGCTCTTCGTGAACGTGTCTCTTCGGACTAGGTATTGCCAGAGACTGTAGCACTGTGAAGAGTTCATGCTGTTTATCTTTTTTATTATAGTCAAATACATAGAACATAAAATTTACCGCTTTAAAGTGCACAAATCAGTGGCATTAAGTACATTCCATTCCCAATGTTATGCAATCATCACCACTATCAAGTTCCAGAACTTTTTCATCACTCCAAAAGGAAACCCATTAAGCAGACGATTCCCATTGCCCTCTCCCAACCTCTGGCAGCCACTGATCTCCTTCTGTCTCGGTAGACTTGCCCCTTCTGGATGTTTATACAGATGGAATCTTAAAATCTGTGGCCTCTTGTGTCTGGCGTCTTTGACTTAGCACAATGTTTTTCAAGGTCCGTCCGTGTCGCGGCGTGTATCGTTGCTTCCCTCCTTTTTATCGCCGAATAATGTTCCATTGTGTGGACAGATCGCATTCTATTTACCCATTCATCAGATGAATGACTTTGGGTTGTTTCCACCTTTTGGCTATTGTGAATAGTACTGCTATGAACCGTTGTGTACAAGTTTTTGTTTGAACACCTGTTGTCAATTCTTTTGGGTCCGTACCTGAAAGTAGAATTCCCGGGTCATATGGTAATTCTGTGATTAACTTGCTGAGGAGCTGCCAACTGTTTTCTATAGCAGCTGTACCATTTTGTGTTCCCACTAGCAACGTGTGAGGGTTCTAATTTCTCGACATCCTTGTCAACCACTTGTTATTTTCCCCCGCCTTTTTATTTATGTATTTATGTATTTATCTATTTATTTTTTTGAGACGGAGTCTCTCTCTGTCAGCCAGGCTGGAGTGCAGTGGTGTGATCTTGGCTCACTGCAAGCTCTGCCTCCCGTGTTCACACCATTCTCCTGCCTCAGCCTCCTGAGTAGCTGGGACCACAGATGCCGCCCACCACCACGCCGGGCTAATTTTTTGTATTTTTAGTAGAGTCGGGGTTTCGCCGTGTTAGCCAGGATGGTCTTGATCTCCTGACCTCGTGATCCGCCGGCTTCGGCCTCCCAAAGTGCTGGGATTACAGGCATGAGCCACTGCACCCGGCCTTTTTTTTTTTTTTTTTTCCTCTGACATAGGATTTCACTGTGTTGCCCAGGCTGGAGTGCAGTGGCACGATCTCAGCTCACTGCAGCCTCAACCTTCCAGGCTCAAGTGATCCTCCCACCTCAGCCTCCAGGGTAGCTAGGACCACAGGCACGTGCCACCACGTCCAGCTGTGTTTTTGTGTTTTTTGTAGAGACTGGGTTTTGCCATGTTACCCAGGCTGGTCTCAAACTCCTGGGTTCAAGCGATCTTCCCACATCTGCCTTCCAAAGTGCTGGGATTACAGGCATGAGCCACCATGCTTCGCCTTCCTTTACAAAAAAAAAAAAAAAATTCCGGTCCTCCTAGTGGGTATGAAGTAGTATCTCATGGTGGTTTTGGTGCATTTCTCGAACGACTTCGTTGCTGGACATCTCTTCAGATGCTTGTTGGCCACATCTTCTTTAGAGAAATGTCTGCTGAGAACTCGATTCTCTTTTTGTGTTAGCTTTCGTATCATGAAATTTTGCATGTGACTAAGTACAGTTATTTGTATAGGGCTCGGTTTGTATATTTAGGTTCCTTCCTAAAGCTTCATTCTGTTGTGGGTTTTTTCCTGCTTTCTCTTTTAGGCTGCTGCTGCTTCTCCTCGGAAGCCAGTTGTCTGACTTGCGCTTTGTCATTTTTAATCTTCTGCCTGTTGTAGTTCTTGACCCCAAGCCTGGGGTATTGATCAGTTCATCTGGCAGTACAGTATTTATGGATTGACCACGTACAATGTGCCAAGCTGTTGAGCGGGTCATTGGGCATACAAACATGGAAGTCCTTTTTTTTTTTTTTGAGACATGGTCTCACTCTGTCACCTAAACTGGAATGCAGTGGCACAATCACAGCTCACTGCAGCCTCGACCTCCCAGGCTCAGATGATCCTCCCCCCTCAGCCTCCAGAGTAGCTGGGACTACGGGTGCGTGCCACCATGCCTGGCTAATTTTTGTATTTTTGATAGAGATGGGCCTCGCTGTGTTGCACAGAATGGTCTTGAACCCCTGGGTTCAAGCAGTCCCCCCACCTTAGCCCCTGAAAGTGCTGGGATTACAGGCAAGAGCCACCTTCTCTTTTTGATACATGTCTCTTTGTGATGTGCACAGATTACATTTTATTTTTTTTAATTAGGTTAATGGGCATATCAGGATAAAGAATGGTACTGCACTGGAATTTAAGGGATCTGTGTCAGGTTTCAGCCCCCAATAGCTGTGTGGCCTCAGGGTTCACCCTTCACCCTTCTGGAACTTGGTTTCCTGGTCTATAAAATTTAGGGTAAGGC